>NC_000005.10:23641154-23944184 GCF_000001405.40 Homo sapiens
TCCTCAGCCATGCTGAACTGTGAGCAAATTAAACCTCTTTTCTTTATAGATTACCCAGTCTCAGGTGTGTCTTTATTAGTAGTGTGAGAATGCACTAATACACTTTCTCTATGACATGCTTCTCATAGCTAGCTTACTCTCTCATTCACCTTAAACCACATCTTCTGAAATATCTATTCCCTAAACTCCCAACATGAAGGACTTCTTCCACTCTTCCTATGACATCCACTTGTTTACATTTTCATCGTGGCCCTTATCTCAATGTGTTGTGTATTGATTTGCTTATTTTCTGTCTTCCTTAACACTTTGTAGGGTAGAAATCCTGATTGTCTTGTTCACCTATAATTGTAAGACAAAGCAAAATGATAGGGTTATAACAGGTCTTCAATAAATATTTGTTGAATAGGTTTCCAAAGGGAAACAAAAACTAAAGGTGAAAGATTAAGATTTGCACTGAAATTATAGTAAAGGTTTATAAGGAATTTCAAAACAAGTATTATTTTCTGCAAGCATGCTTCCTTTAGATTTATCTAGCTCTCTAAAATTGTTATTATAGAAATACATGTGCTCTTTTTAAAAATATATATTTTTTTAATTTTTGAAGGTACACAGTAGGTGTGTATCTTTGCAGGTTGCATGAGACATTTTGATACACGCATGAAATGCATAGTAATCATATTATGGTCAATGGGGTATTGATATGTTTTGACTCTGTGTCCCCACCCAAATCTCATCTTGAATTGTACTCCCATAATTCCCACGTGTTGTGGGAGGGACCTGGTGGGAGATAATTGAATCATGGGGGCAGTTTCTCTCTTACTGTTCTCATGGTAGTGAATAAGTCTCACAAGACCTGATGATTTGATAAGGGGAAACCCATTTCACTTGGCTCTCGTTCTTTCTCTTTACCTGTTGCCATCCACGTAAGATGTGACTTGCTCTTCCTTGCCTTCTGCCATGATTGTGAGGCTTCCCCAGCCATGCAGAAATGTAAGTCCAATTAAACCTATGTCTTTTGTAAATTGCCCAGTCTCAGGTATGTTTTTATTTTTTTTTGACCTCAGAAAGGTAGGCCTCTCACTTTAAGTTATATATATACGTGTATATATATACATATATATGTGTGTATATATATATACTTTAAGTTCTAGGGTACATGTGCACAATACGCAGGTTTGATACATAGGTATTCATGTGCCATGGTGGTTTGCCGCACTCATCAACTCGTCATTTACATTAGGTATTTCTCCTAACGCTATCCCTCCCCCAACCCCCCCACCTCCCAACAGGAACCAGTGTGTGATGCTCCTCACCCTGTGTCCAAGTGTTCTTATTGTTCAGTTCCCACCTATGAGTTAGAATATGTGGTGTTTGGTTTTCTGTCTTTGTGATAGCTTGCTGAGAGTGATGGTTTCCAGCTTCATCCATGTCCCTGCAAAGGACATGAACTCATCCTTTTTTATGGCTGCATAGTATTCCGTGGTGTATATGTGCCACATTTTCTTAATCCAGTCTATCATTGATGGACATTTGGGTTGGTTCCAAGTCTTTGCTATTGTGAATAGTGCTGCAATAAACATATGTGTGCATGTGTCTTTATAGCAACATGATTTATAATCCTTTGGGTATATACACCCAGTAATGGGATGGCTGGGTCAAATGGTATTTCTAGTTCTAGATCCTTGAGGACTCGCCACACTGTCTTCCACAATGGTTGAACTAGTTTACACTCCAACCAACAGTGTAAAAGTGTTCCTATTTCTCCACATCCTCTCCAGCATCTGTTGTTTCCTGACTTTTTAATGATCGCCATTCTAACTGGTGTGAGATGGTATCTCATTGTGGTTTTGATTTGCATTTCTCTGATGATCAATGATGACGAGCATTTTTTATGTGTCTATTGGCTGCATAAATGTCTTCTTTTGAGAAGTGTCTGTTTGTATCCTTTGCCCACTTTTTGATGGGGTAGTTTGTTTTCTTCTTGTAAATTTATTTCAGTTCTTTGTAGATTCTAGATATTAGCCCTTTGTCAGATGGGTAGATTGCAAAAATTTTCTCCCATTCTGTAGGTTGCTGGTTCACTCAGATGGTAGTTTCTTTTGCCGTGCAGAAGCTCTTTAGTTTAATTAGATCCCATTTGTCTATTTTGCCTTTTGTTGCCATGGCTTTTGGTGTTTTAGTCATGAAGTCCTTGCCCATGCCTATGTCCTCAATGGTATTGCCTAGGTTTTCTTCTAGGGTTTTTATGGTTTTAGATCTAATATTTAAGTCTTTAATCCATCTTGAATTAATTTTTGTATAAGATGTAAGGAAAGGATCCAGTTTCAGCTTTGTACACATGGTTAGCCGGTTTTCCCAGCACCATTTATTAAATAGGGAATCCTTTCCCCATTTCTTATTTTTGTCAGGTTTGTCAAAGATTAGATGGTTGTAGACGTATGATGTTATTTCTGAGGCCTCTTTTCTGCTCCATTGGTCTATATGTCTGTTTTGGTACCAGTACTATGCTGTTTTGGTTACTGTAGCCTTGTAGTATAGTTTGAAGTCAGGTAGCATGATGCCTCCAGCTTTGTTCCTTTTGCTTAGGATTGTCTTGGCAATGCGGGCTCTTTTTTAGTTCCATATGAACTTTAAAGTAGTTTTTTCCAATTCTGTGAAGAAAGTTATTGGTAGCTTGATGGGGATGGCATTGAATCTATAAATTACCTTGGGAAGTATGGCCATTTTCATGATATTGATTCTTCCTATCCCTGAGCATGGAATATTCTGCCATTTGTTTGTGTCCTCTTTTATTTTGTTGAGCAGTTGTTTGTAGTTCTCCTTGAAGAGGTCCTTCATATCCCTTGTAAGTTGGATTCCTAGGTATTTTATTTTCTTTGAAGCAATTGTGAATGGGAGTTCACTTGTGATTTGGCTCTCTGTTTGTCTGTTATTGGTGTATAGGAATGTTTGTGATTTTTGCAAAATGATTTTGTATCCTGAGACTTTGCTGAAGTTGCTTATCAGCTTAAGTAGATTTTGGGCTGAGATGATGGGATTTTCTAAATATACAGTCATGTCATCTGCAATCAGGGACAATTTGACTTCCTCTTTTCCTAATTGAATACCCTTTATTTTTTTCTCTTGCCTTATTGCCCTGGCCAGAACTTCCAACACTATGTTGAATAGGAGTCGTGAGAGAGGACAACCTTGTCTTGTGCCAGTTTTCAAAGGGAATGCTTCCAGTTTTTGCCCATTCAGTGTGATATTGGCTATGGGTTTGTCATAAATAGCTCTTATTATTTTGAGATACATTCCATCAACATTTAGTTTGTTGAGAGTTTTTAGCATGAAGCGCTGTTGAATTTTGTCGAAGGCCTTGTCTGCATCTATTGAGATAATCATGTGGTTTCTGTCATTGATTCTGTTTGTGTGATGGATTACATTTATTAATTTGTGTATGTTGAACCAGCCTTGTATTCTATGGATGAAGCTGACTTGATCCGTTTCTTCTAGATTTTCTAGTTTATTTGCATAGAAGTGTTTATAGTATTCTCTGTCAGTAGTTTGTATTTCTGTGGGATCAGTGGTGATATCCCCTTTATCATTTTTTATTGAGTCTATTTGATTCTTCTCTGTTTTCTTGTTTATTAGTCTAGCTAGTGGTCTATCTATTTTGTTGATCTTTTAAAAAACCAGCTCCTGGATTCATTGATTTTTTGAAGGGTTTTTGTGTCTCTATCCCCTTCAGTTCTGCTCTGATCTTAGTTATTTTTTGCCTTCTGCTTGCTTTTGAATTGTTTGCCCTTGCTTCTCTAGTTCTTTTAATTGTGATGTTAGGGTGTCAATTTAGATCTTTCCTGCTTTTTCTTGTGGGCATTTAGTGCTATAAATTTACTTCTACATACTGCTTTAATTGTGTCCCAGAGATCCTGGTACGTTGCATCTTTGTTCTCATTGGTTTCAAAGAACATCTTTATTTCTGCCTTAGTTTCTTTATTTGCCCAGTAGTCATTCAGGAGCAGGTTGCTCAGTTTCCATGTAGTAGTGTGGTTTTAAGTGAGTTTCTTAATCCTGAATTCTAATTTGATTGCACTGTGGTCTGAGAGATAGTTTGTTGTGATTTCTGTTCTCTTCCATTTGTTGAGGAGTGCTTCACTTCCAATTATGTGGTCAATGTTAGAATAAGTGCAATGTGGCACTGAGAAGAATGTATATTCTGTTGATTTCTGTTCTTTTACATATGCTGAGGAGTGTTTTACTTCCAATTTTGTGGTCAATTTTAGCATAAGTGTGAGGTAGTGCTGAGAAGAATGTATATTCTGTTGATTTGGGGTGGAGAGTTCTGTAAATGTCTATTAGGTCTGCTCAGTGCAGAGCTGAGTTCAAGTCATGGATATCCTTGTTAACCGTCTGTCTCATTGATCTGTCTAATATTGACAGTGGGGTGTTAAAGTCTCCCATTATTATTGTGTGGGAGTCTAAGTCTCTTTGTAGGTCTCTAAGAACTTGCTTTATGAATCTGGGTGCTCCTGTATTGGGTGCATATATATTTAGGATAGTCAGCTCTTCTTGTTGCATTGATCCTTTTACCATTATGCAATGGCCTTCTTTGTCTCTTTTAATTTTTTTTTTTTTTTTTTTTACCTTTTTCACTTTTTAGTATTCTAAAAATCTGGTATAATTTCTCCCGATCTTGAATGGAACTAAGTTGAAAAATACTCTTCAGGATATTATCCAGGAGAACTTCCCCAACATAGCAAGGCAGGCCAACATTCAAATTCAGGAAATACAGAGAATGCCACAAAGATACTCCTCAAGGAGAGCAACCCCAAGACACATAATTGTCAGATGCACCAAGGTTGAAATGAAGGGAAAAATGTTAAGGCAGCCAGAGAGAAAGGTTGGGTTGCCTACAAAGGGAAGCCAATCAGACTAACAGTGGATCTCTCAGCAGAAACTCTACAAGCCAGAAGAGAGTGGGGGCCAATCTTCAACATTCTTAAAGAAAATAATTTTCAGCCCAGAATTTCATATCCAGCCAAACCAAGCTTCATAAGTGAAGGAGAAATAAAATCCTTTACAGACAAGCAAATGTTAAGGATTTTGTCACCACCAGGCCTGCCTTACAAGAGCTCCTGAAGGAAGCACTAAACATGGAAAGAATCAACCAGTACCAGCCACTGCAATAACATGCCAAATTGTAAAGACCATCAAGGCTATGAAGAAACTGCATCGATTTAATGGGCAAAATAACCAGCTAACATCATAATGACATGATCAAATTCATGTGTAACAATATTAACCTTAAATGTAAATGGGCTAAATGCCCCATATAAAAGACACAGACTGGCAAATTGGATAAAGAATCAAGACCCATCAGTGTGCTGTGTTCAGGAGACCAATCTCATGTGCAGAGACACACATAGGCTCAAAATAAAGGGATGGAGAAAGATCTACCAAGCAAATGGATAGAAAAAAAAAAAAAAAGCAGGGGTTGCAATCCTAGTCTCTAATAAAATGGACTTTAAACCAACAAAGATTAAAAGAGACAAATAAGGCCATTACATAGTGGTAAAGGTATCAATTCAACAAGAAGAGCTAACTATCCTAAATATATATGTACCCAATACAGGAGTACTCAGATTCATAAGGTATGTCTTTATCAGCAACATGAACATGGACTAACACAGTAAATTGGTACCAGTAGAGTAGGGCATTGCTGAAAATATAACTGAAAATATAGAAGTGACTTTGGAACTGGGTAACAAGCAGAGGCTGGAACAGTTTGTGGGCTCAGAAGACAGAAAAACGTGGGAAAGTTTGGAACTTCCTAGAGACTTGTTGAATGGCTTTTGCCCAAAATGCTGATGGCAATATGGATAATAAGGTCCAGGGTAAAGTGGGCTCAGATGGAGATGAGAAACTTGTTGGGAACTGGAAGAAAAGGTGACTCTCATTATGTTTTAGCAAAGATACTGGCAGCATTTTGCCCCTGCCCTGGAGATTTGTGGAACTTTGAACTTGAGAGAGATGATTTAGGGTATCTGACAGAAGAAATTTCTCAGCAGCAAAGCATTCAAGAGGTGACTTGGGAGCTGTTAAAGGCATTCAATTTTATAAGGGAAGCAGAGTATAAAAGTTTGGAAAATTTGCAGCCTGACAATGTGATAGAAAAGAAAATCTCTTTTTTTTTTTTTTTTTTTTTTTTGAGGACAAACTCAAGCCAAGCCAGCTGCAGAAATTTGCATAAGTAATGATGAGCCAAATGTTAATCCCAAAGACAAGGGGTAAATGTCTACAGGGCATGTCAGAGGTCTTTGCAGCAGCCCCTCCCATTACGTTTCCTACAGGCCTAGTAGGAAAAAATGGTTTCGTGGGCCAGGCCCAAGTTCCCCGTGCTGCATGTAGCCTAGGGACTTGGTGCCCTGCCTCCCAGTTGCTCCACCCCTTGACTAAAAGGGGGCAAGGTACAGTTCAGGCTGTGGCTTCAGAGGGTACAAGCCCCAAGGCTTGGAAGTTTCCACGTGGTTTTGAGCCTGTTGGGGCACAGAAGTCAAGAATTGAGGTTAGGAAATCTCTGCCTAGATTTCAGAGGATGTATGGAAACACCTGGATATCCAAGCAGAAGTTTGCTACAGGGGCAGGGCTCTCATAGAGAACCTCTGCTAGGGCATTATGGAAGGGAAATGTGGGGTCACAGCCCTCACACAGAGTCTCTACTTGGGCAACAACTAGTGGAACTGTGAGAAGAGGGCCAGTATTCTCCAGACCCCAGAATGGTAGATCCACTGACAGCTTGCACCATGAGCCTGGAAAAGCCAGACATTCAACACCAGCACATGAAAGCAGCTGGGAGGGAGGCTACACCCTGCAGAGCCACAGGGGCAGAGCCGTCCAAGACCAGAGAACCCACTTCTTGCATCAGCATGACCCAGATGTGAGACATGGAGTCAACAGAGATCATTTCAGAGCTTAAATATTTGACTGCCCTGCTGGATTTTGGACTTGCCTGGGGCCTATAGCCTCTTTGTTTTGGCCAATTTCTTCCATTTGAAATGGCTATATTTACCCAGTACCTGTACCTCCATTGTATCTAAGAAGTAATTAAGTTGCTTGTGATTTTACAGGCTCATAGGTGGAAGGGACTTGTCTCAGATAAGACATTGGACTATGGACTTTTGAGTTAATGCTGAAATGAGTTAAGACTTTGGGGGACTGGTTTTGAAATGTGAAGACATAAGTTTTGGCAGAGGTCAGGGGTGGAATGATGGTTTGGCTCTATATCCCAACCCAGATCTCATCTTGAATTGTATTCCCATAATTCCCATGTGTTGTGGGAGAGACCCAGTGGGAGATAATTGAATCATGGGGGCAGTTTCTCCCATACTCTCATGGTAGTGAATACGTCTCATGAGATCTGATGGTTTGAAAAGGGGAAACCCATTTCATTTGGCTCTCGTTCTGTCTCTTTGACTCTTCCCAACCATGTAAGACGTGACTTTCTCTTCCTTGCCTTAAGCCATGATTGTGAGGCTTCCCCAGCCAGGTGCAACTGTAAGTCCAATTAAACTTCTGTCTTTTGTAAATTGTCCAGTGTTGGGTAGTAGTTTCCCTTTTAGCCCACGGTGTGTCTGGAAAGGTTGTTTGGGCCCTAGGTCCTGGAAGGGGGTTCTCATGACTCTGACTGGTGCTCTACCAAGTGCACAGACTCTGTGCCATGAGTCACTGCCAGGGAATGGGTGAGTGGTAACATCAGCAATTAAAGACAGTCTTTCCTTCCCTCTTATTGCCTCTTATGTGGTGGGAAGTTACAACCAGATACTGTAACTGCTCACCTGATTTTTGGTTCTTATGAAGGTGTTTTTTGTGTGTAGATAATTGTTAAATTAATGTCCTTGCAGGGGCAATGATTTTTGGAGCCTTCTATTTGGTTATCCTGCTTTGCCCCTCAACACATGTTTTCTTATATTCCCACGCCAACTCCACTCCTTTCTTCTGTACTCATTTATATACAAGCTGTCTAAAATAACATCAGGGAATTATACATCATTTGAACATAATGCCTTGCTGTGGGTTGTGCTGAATGCTCTGAGTAGCCTAGAAAACCCACAACTGACATTTCTAAATCCTGCTGTGTGATATTACTATATAAGTAATTTACCTAATTAGTAAATTTAGATTTACTCCACATTCATATAGGCACAGTTTCTACCTGTGGTTCAAAAGATAAAATCTTTGGTAAAAAAAGAAACATTATTTTATATTATTACTGTTAACACATTAGCCTTTATTACTAAACAAATATAAAATCAAGAAAAACTCACATCTTTGAAGACTAAAAACGAAGTTAAAATCACCGACTTGAAACAGAGAACTAAGCAGGGCTATTTTGTCTTTCTAGGCTGTGTGATCTTGAGAACATTACTAAAATTTCCAGGTCTCTCTGTTTTCATTTCTATAGTGAGAATAATAATACTATCGATGTCATAAGATGTTTATAAGAATTACGTATTTGGAGGTAGACTTGTTAGTACTAAATCTATAATTGTTTGGACTCTCATTATGAATTGTTTGTAACCGCCCCCCAGAATTCACGTGTTGAAGTCTTGACTCTTGATAGTGTTGAGAGGTGGGCCTCTTGGGATGTAATTAGTTTTAGATGATGTCATGATGGTGGAGGCTCCATTATGGGATTTATTTCCTTATGAGAAAATACTGGAGCTTTTGCTCTTTGCTATGATTAGAGAGAGAAGGAAGCCATCTGCAAGCCAAGAAGAGAGCTTTGACTAAGAACTGAATCTGTCATACCTTGACTTTGGATTTTCCAGCCTCTGGAACTATGAGAAATAAATGTCTTCTGTTTAAGCCACTGAGTCTTTGCGTTTTCTTATGGCAGCCTAAGCTAGTTAAGATCACCTTTGTAGGATTTCTGATCACATTTCTAATAGTCAGTACCATATCTTAGCATGTGGGATATCCCCGACTAGCTGAAACCTACATTGTGTGCTCTCTTACAGGTGAGCCAGAAGTGACTAGAAAATTATGTCCCTGCAGAGAATATCCCTTCAGCAATGCCTGACAAGTATGGGATTATTAATATTTTGATTCCCATTCCTCTTGGCCATGATATATCAAAGGCATGTGTTCTCTGTCATGTCCCAGCATGGTCTTGCAGGATTAGTTCAAGGTAGCCAGCTGTCCAATATATCCTCTTGGCTTGCATTACCTTCCCTGTACTACTGCCACACTCACTTGCCAGTGTGTATTGATCCCAACAAATAAACTAAATCTTAGTTTCTGCTCCTAGGAAGAAGTGGACCCAATAAACAACTAAAGGTATGAAAAGATTACAATGCAGCAATCTCTTGTAACAGCCCACCACCACCACCACCACCACCCCCACCACCCCCCCAGCACATCCATCCAATTAAAATATTGATTTTCTTATTATTAATTCTGTGACTTTAGGAAAATCATCAAATGTCACTGAGTTGTTAACTTACCTTTAAACCAGAACTATTAATGTTAAAAACTACCATGGTTCAATCTTCAGAGAAAAAACACATACATAAAAATTGAGCAAGAAATGCTTGAGGTGATAGACACCTCATTTACTTTGATGTGATTATTATGCTTTGAATGCCTGCATCAAAATATCTCATGTACCCCATAAATATATACACCTTCTATGTACCCACATATGAATCTCTACTTGATGTTTCATAAAAATGTTACAATAAAGAAAAGAAATCTAAGTGTTCAAGTGACAGCATCAATAAAAATGAGAAAAACTTTCAGAATGTACATTAAATGTGTATTTGCTTAGGAACACCTGTTGCTGATTTTCTGTCATTGCCCTCCTCATTTTAATCAAGTGTCACCAACTGCGGAATCACACCTGCAGAATAACAGGTGCAGCAGGGAGAACACTAAACTCGAAACTGTCAAATAGAAGTTTTAAACCTGGAACAGGAAACTCCCTCCATGCTCCCATCTATGTGTGAACATCTAGCTGTCTAGATTTGGGGAATGATTGCTTCTAGACTACTTTTTCTAACTTCATGGAATGACCTGTTTGTTTTTATCTTTCTCTTTATTAAAGTATGTCTTATTTGGCAACTCTCTGTTCAACATCTGATGATGTTATAGAACATTAATATGTGAAGACTTCTGAATAATCTAATGGCTGCTTGTCCATGCTAATACTAACCTAAACATTAATTGCTGGCACTATTCATAGCTTTGTTAATGATTTCACATTATTTTGACCTTGATTCTTGTTGTAAAGCTGACTGAAGCAAGTTTACCATGCACCAAATACTCTACGACTTGCACAAGTCAGGTGAGAGAACACTCATACAACATATTAAGTGGAGCAAACTTATTACTGACCAATAAACAACAAAGGACAATAGAAGTGTAGAATTCATAACAAGCCACTCCCTCAAGGCTCAGGAAAGCTTTCTAGGAAAGACAGAATCTCATCTACATGTGCCCAACCTCATATTGCAGCTGAGGGACCCCACAAACACTCTAACCTAAGTTTTATACTCTGGAGGAAACTAGGGTCATGGAGCTAACACATTGTGGGGCACCCTGTTCTAGGAGAGATGGGAACAGAGCCCAGCTATTCCAGACAGTTTCTCCTTATCTCAGAATAATGCTTTCCCAGCACATTCTGCAGTTTTTCTGAGAAATGCAGGCAAGAAAGTGGGGGAAGAGCTGGCTTAGGCAAACTGGCCAGGGACCTGTCTTGCACATGCTGCAAATGAACTTGTTCCCTAAATAATCTTGTATTATTTATCAGTTGACTATGGTACCATACTATTTTAAAAGTAGAGTTATTATAAACCATGAAACACAAAAATCAAACACTCTGAATGTGAATTCAATTATCTGATCATTTCTTTATGATTGATTAACAGGACAATAATTGTCTAATCACTAGAATTTCTTCTCTTTTCTGCCTAACAATTTATTCACAAATTTAATATGCATGAGTTGCCGATTTTGTATGAAACAAAGATAGATACAAGATCACAATTAACTTTTATCATAACAGTACACAAACAATCAGCCACAAATTTGTCTTAATTTTTTCTCTATTTCAAGAATGAATGCTTATTCATAATTATAGAATGTATTAATTCAGTTGGGATAAAGTTTTACTGGAAATTATAGTATTTATATTTGCCTTTATATATCCTTGCAAATTTCTCCTCTTTGTAAAAAACTCCAATCCCAAGAAATGCTTTTTAATTTTTAAAATTGTAATTAATATGTTAAAATAAAAAGAAATCCGGAACTTTGACAGTAGACTGAAATAGGAAAGGGTAAGAATACAAGAACCAGGTCTAGCTATGTTTGTGAAAAATATTTAACTGTAAAATTTCAATTTTATACAGTTCAAACTAAACATACAGGTAATGTTCAGTGAAGGGATACATTGATGAAGAGGGGAATAATTGTTTGTATATAGGAAATGTCCAGATTAAAAAATCCCGTGGGCACAACAGAGTGCTTATTAGGGAATTGCTAAGTGATATGTTGTGCCCTATGATATAGATGAACTTTTCCCTAATACAAATTTAGACATCTAATTTACAGAACTTGAATTAATTAATGATTTTCTTTTGTAAGGCAATGAGTAAAAATTTTAGACATCTCAGTCAGGATAAAGGTTTTTAGCAAAGTTCTTGTGTCAGATAAGATAATAATAACATCTTTAATGAAAAACTTTCAGCATTTTAAAGACCTATTATAAGAGAGGATTTCTTTTTTCACTTGTGTTCAAGTAGACAAGGAACTTGTGTTCAAGTAGACAAAGAAACTGGTTTTGGTTTTGGTAATCTTTACCATATTACATTGCTTCCTAGATTGTATTTGGTGACAATTATAAGTTGATTGCAGTAGGTTCTCAGCCACCATCACAATCATGATATATAATCTCAATCACTTCAAAAATATTCCCTTGTGCTCTTTGTAGTCAGCCTCTTCTCCCACCCCCAACTCCTGGCAAACATTGATGAGTTCTTTGTATAGTTTTCTTTTGCAAGAACATCTTAGAAATATGATCATACAATATTTAGGATTTTTTTTTGTCTGGCTCCTTTTACTTAGTCTAATGCGTTTGAGATTTATCCTTGTTTTGTGTGCCCCAGGAGTTACTTTTTTTTGTATTACTGAGTGGTATTATGTTGCATAGATGAATCACGGTCTGGTTATCCATATACGAGTTGAAGGAATTGGCAATTACGAATAAAGCTATTATAAACATTCATGCACAAATTTTTGCATGAATTTGAGTAAAGAAAAAGGATCGAGGTTACTGGTTAATATGGTAAGTACATGTTTAGCTTCATAAGAAACTGCCAAATGGTTTTACATAATGACATAGTTTTTACAGGTGATTATTTTAAAGTAAAAGAATAAAACAGTGGAGAATATATTATTTCAATGTAAAGTTTGCTATTTCTTAAATCAACTTTGTTAAATAGGCAAATCATATTATTTTCCCCCATATTCCCATTTAGTTTCTATGCTGATATCTAATATTGGGATATAGCTTTATTTTAAAAACTATTGAATTCATTTGTCTTTTTTATTTTTTTGAACTTTTAAGATTTTTTTTAGTTTCAGTTTTTCTCTTTTAAAAAATACTGTGTAAATAGAGTTGGACCTCTGTATCTGTGAGTTTCACATCCCTGGATTTTACATCTGTAGATTCAAACAACCATAGTTCTAAAATATTCGGAAAAAAAGCCATAAAAATAAAAATATAACAATAATAAGTAATACAAATAAAGCAGAATACAGTGTATCAACTATTTACATAGAATTTGCATTGCATTAGGTATTTTAAAGAACCTAGAGATATTTAAAATATATGAGAGGATGTGTGTAGGTTACATGCAAATTCAACACCATTTTGAAGGTTGTTAAATAAGGGACTTAAGTATCTACAGATTTTTGTATCCACTAGGGGTGAAAAGGCATCCTGGAACCAATACCCTATGGATACCAGGGGGTGAAGGTATACACTATCTATATAAGAAGAAAAAAATTGATTTCCTAGGCAATTTGAAACATTTTTTACAGATCAGCCACAATTAACCACACAAAAAAGGAAGGTCACAGAAATAAATAAACCAGCATTTATTACAATTAGTCATAGTACAAATATTACTATCATGTCTATTTAGATGTTTACCAAACATCTTAGAAACTAAAATGTCATTCACAGTATGCATTATCCTAGCAGGTAGATTCACTAGGGCTGTTCATGGTGCCTCACTAATCAAGGAATGAAGAGCTTCTGTCATATTTATAGCTTATTTCATGAGTAATAATAAGAGAAAAAAATCAAACATGTTTGTGAAAATGATGTAGAACAGAGATAAGAGTCAATTACATAGTGTCAGGCCAATTTATTTTATTTTTTCTTTAAGATAAATTTATGAAAACTGGCAAAGTGGTATACAGAATTACTCATTACTGCTTTAGCCATACTGGCCTCCTTGCTCTTCCTTAAATCATCCAAACACACTCCTGCCTGAGGACCTTTGTAATGGAAATCCCCTTGGTCTGGACTCTTTCTCTGATGGGGACTTGGCCCACATCCTCACTTAAGACATGGCCTTGCTCAAATGCTACCCTGTCAGAAAAGTCTTTCATCTATACAAATACATGCAACAACACTTTCTTTAAGAAATTCTCCATCAATTTATATCCTTTTATTTTACTTCTCAGCATTTCTTATGCCCTAGCAAATCTGACTTTATGAGTTTAGTTTGTTGAACTACAATGCAAGCTCATGAATTACACACTGCTTTATAGTTCATTTTCTAGAAGACACACTTTTGAATAAATGTGCAAATACATAAGACAAATATGTAATCTATTGATATAAATAATTCCTAGCTCTATACAAAAATAGATTCACACAAAACATGTATAGATACTCCATAGTTAAAATGTAATTGCATTTTCTGATACAACATATTCTTGTCCCAAGGCAGCCATTGAATGAAGGACTTTTATTAATATTTTAATTAAAGATATATTTATTGTTATTGAGTGTCTGTACTATGTGCCAGATACTGGTAGTTCCAGTGGGAGATAGTTTTAAACAAGGAGTCCCAGTTTAGTCAGAAGACAATTACATTGATAATTAGATTATTATAAACTTTAAAAAATTGTCATAAAGAGAAACATTAAAATTGCTATAGATTTTGAGGATGAGGCAGAGCAAGATGGGTAAATAGAATACTGGACCAATCATCCCTCTGCAGGAACACCAAATTGAACAATTGTCTATGCAAGAAAATACCTTTATAAGAATAGAAAAATCAGGTGAATTATCTATCATAGTACCTGATTTTTCATAATAACAAGAATATATGCATTGAAGAGGGTAGGAAGGACAATTTTGCATTCCTACACCTCCCCTTACCTGATCCCAGCAAGAAGAAGGTATCTGTGTGCTTGAAGGCGAGAGAGGAAAGTGAGTGTGAAATTTTGTGTTAGAACTCTGGGCTTCCCTGTCATAGTGGAACACACACCAGGAATATTTCTGCTGTTGCCCATAAAGAAAGCATTTAGACCACATCTGGGCTAGAGGGGAATCCTCTGCCCAATGAGAGGAACTCAAGTCCCAACCTGCTTCAACACCGACTGATTAAAACGCCTCAGGGCCCTGAATAAATTTGAGTGGCAGTCAGAGCATAGCAACTCCAGTCCTGGGGTAAGCCCTGATGCTGAGCTGGTCTGGAAGGCTGTGAGTTTGTGGTGTGACTCAGTGTGACACTAGCTGAAGCAAAAGGAGGGGTTGCATTACTGCTACCCAAATTGCAGGCAGAGCAGTACAGATAGAAACTCCTTCTGCTTGGGGGAAGGAGAGAAAAGAGCATAAAGGATTTTGTCTTACAATTGGGTACCAGCACAGCAATAGTAAAATAAAGTACTGGGTGGAATCCTGAAGCCTCTGATTGTGAACATTTGATCCCACAGTGTTTCTAGACCCACTTTGGGGCTGAGGGGACTCTGCTGCCCTGGCAGGATGGACCGAATTCTAGTAAGATTCACTATATGCTGACTAAAATGGCCTTGGGACTTCAATAAACATCCTCAGTAGCCAGGCAGTAGTGGCCAAGGATTTGGGTGAGCCCTGTTGCCATGTTGGTCTGGGAGGCCATGGATTTGGGGTATTTCCAGGCACTGTGCCAGCTGTGAGGACCGCAGGAATGACTATGTCACCTCTCCCCCAAATTCATGCAGTGCAGCACAGAGGGAGACTTCCTCACTAGAGGAAGGAAAGAGAAGAGTATAGAGGACTTCGCCTTGAGGGTACCAGTTCAGCCACAGTAAAATAAAGCACCAGACAAAATCTTGAATCCCCTGATTCTGGGTGCTTGCTTCTGGATAGCATTTTTAGATCCACCTTGGGCCAGAAAAGAATCTTCTGCTATGGTAAGATGGACCAAGTCCTAGCAATATTTACCATCTGTTGATCAAAGAGGCCTGGGGCCTTGAATAAACATCAATGGCAGCCTGACAGTAGCAGTGCTACGCCTCCTTCAATTCCAGGCAGTCCCTAGTGAAGAAAGTCGTCTTCTGCTTTTGGACAAGAGAAGAAAGGAATGAGAGACTTTGCCTGGGAACCCAGGGAATGCTTCCTTATCATTCCCAAGTTCACCAACACTGTATACCAAGGACACTGCAAGAGCTATAGCATGCCTGGGCTTACGGCGCTCCCTAGTAATGAAATGGCTGCAGTGACCACAGGCTTAGGTAACAACACTCAATCCCTTTTGAGTTTGTGGAAAGCCTTTTCAAGAAGGATGGATACAAGTAAGTCAGACTACAAAGACTGGTATAAATAATTCTTCAATACTCAGAAATTGGTGGACATCCACAAGCAGCAAGAACATCCAGAAAACACGACCTCATCAAGCAGACTAAATAAGGCACCACTGACAAATCCTGGAGTAATGGAGATGTTTGACCTATCAGACAGAAAATTTAAAAATAGCTGTCTTAAGGAAGTTTGCCAAATGTCTGGATAACCTAGAGAAGAAATTTAGAAGTCTAACAGAGAAATTTAACAGAGAAATTAAAATAATTTTTAAAATATTACACAGAAATTCTGAAGCTGAGAAATTCATTGGACAAACCAAAAACTACATCAGTGTCACAACTAATTAATCAAGCACAATTATTCAAGAAGAACAAATAATTAGTGAACTCAAATACAGACCACATGAAAATAAATATTCAGAATATAAAAAATAAATAAAAATGAAAGAAATATGAAGTATGTCTACAAGATCTAGAGAATGGCCTACAAAAGGCAAATATAAGACTTATTGGCTTTAAAGAAGGTGTAGATAAAAGGATCAGGGTAAAATGTTTATTCAAATAAATAATAACAGAGAACTTTCCAAACCTAGGGGGAGATATGAATATCTAGGTACCAGAAGATTCCAACATAAATAAGACTGCCTCGGCCGGGCGCGGTGGCTCACGCCTGTAATCCCAGCACTTTGGGAGGCCGAGGCGGGTGGATCATGAGGTCAGGAGATCGAGACCATCCTGGCTAACAAGGTGAAACCCCGTCTCTACTAAAAATACAAAAAATTAGCCGGGCGCGGTGGCGGGCGCCTGTAGTCCCAGCTACTCGGGAGGCTGAGGCAGGAGAATGGCGTGAACCCGGGAAGCGGAGCTTGCTGTGAGCCGAGATTGCGCCACTGCAGTCCGCAGTCCGGCCTGGGCGACAGAGCGAGACTCCGTCTCAAAAAAAAAAAAAAAAAAAAAAAAAAAAAAAAGACTGCCTCAAAGCATATAATAATCAAACTCTCAATGGTTAAGGACAAAAAAAAAAAAAAAAAAGATCCTAAAAGCAGCAAGAGAAGAGAAACAAAGACTCTATAAAGAAGCTCCTATATGTCTGGCAGCAGACTTCTCTGTAGAAATCTTGCAAACCAGGAAGAAGTGAGATGACATTCAAAGTGCTAAAGGAAGTAAACCCAAAAACATTAAACATAGAATAGTGTGTCTAACAAAGTTGTATTTCTAATATAAAGAATAAATAAAAACTTTCTCAAACAAAAGCTGAGGAAAGTCATTAACCCCAGAGCAGTCTTACAAGAAATACTAAAGGGATCTCCCCAGCCTAAAAGAACAGGATGCTGAAGTGCAACAGGAAAATATCTGAAGGTGTAATACTCATTGGTAAAAGTAAGTAGACAAATAAAACAATGCTCCAATACTGCAATTATGGTGTGTAAACCACTCATGTCTTTCCTATGATGACTAAAAGATAAACCTATAAAAGAATAACAATAACTGCAACAATTTTTAGGAGATGGTCAATGTAAAAATATTTAAATAAAAACAAAAAAGTCAAAAAGTGAAGGGAAGGGTCTTAAAGAGTAGAGGGTTTTTTGTGGTTGTTGTTGTTTTCTTTTTGTTTTATCTTTTATTTTTAAAAAAGAAATAATAATATTTTTAACCAGTTATTTTAAACTAATGTCAACTTAACTCTGATTACAGGGCTGCTATTAGTTTAAAATAATTGGTTAAAAGTATTTTTTTGCAAGCCTCATGGTAACCACAATAAAACTAGAAACCGATAAAAAGAGGAACTTTGGGAATTGTAAAAATACATGGAAATTAAACACTGTGCTTCTGAATAACCATTGGGCCAATGACAAAATTAAGAAAATGTTTTAAAAATTTCTAAAGCAAATAAAAATGAAAACAAAATATACCAAAATCTACGAAATACAGTAAAGGTAGTACTGAGAGGGAAATTTATACTGATAAATACCTAGATCAAAAAGTAGAAAGACTACAAATAAACAACTTAATGATGCATCTTAAAAAATCAGAAAAGCAAGAGCAAAGTGAATCCAAAATTAGTAGGATAAAAGAAATAATAAAGACCAGAACAGGAATAAATGTAGTTGAGACTAAAAAGTACAAAAGATCACCGAAATCAAAAGAAAAGTTTTTGAAAGGATAAACAAAATTCAGAAAATTTTAATGAGACTAAGAAAATCGAGGAGCCCCAAAAATTACAGACAAAAAAGGAGACATTACAACTGATACCACAGAAATTTAAAGGATAATTATAGACTTTTGTAAGCAACTATACACCAACAAATTGGAAAGCCTATAAGAAACAGATAAATTTCTAAACACATACAACGTACTAAGATGTAATAATGAAGAAATTTAAAAAAAAAACAATAGCAAGTATGGGATAGAAGCATAGTAAAAAGTCTTCTATCAAAGTAAATTCCAAGACCTATTGGCTTCACTGCTGAGTTCTACCAAATATTTAAAGAACAAGTACAAATTTTACTCAAATTATTCTGAAAAATAGATGAGGAGGTAATACATCCAAATTCATTCTATGAGGCCAGTATTGCCCTGATACAAAACTATGGAATTGTAGAAAATATTTGCAAACTACAAATATCTGACAGGAGATCAGTAACTAGAATATATAAGGAACTCAATATCAATGCATATATTCATATAATTCAGTTAATTCATACGAATTAAAAATGGGCAAATGATCTCATTAGACATTTCTCAAAATAAGACTTACAAATGGCCAACAGGTGTATAAAAAATGTTCAATATCACTAATCATCAGAAAAATGCAAACAAAACTATAATGAGACATCTAACCCCAATTGAAATAGTTTTTATCTAAAAGACAAAAAATAACAAATGCTGGCAATGATTTGGAGAAAGAGAAACATTGGTACACTGTTCATTGGAGTTTAAATTAATATAACCACTATGAAAATCAGTATGGAGTTTCTTCAAAAAACGAAACATAGATTACAAAAAGATTCAGCCATTGCACTTTTGGGTGTATATCCAAAAGAAAGGAAATAAATACATCAAATATATATGTGCACTCTCACGTTTATTGTAACTCTGTTCACAATAGCCAAGATATGGAATCAACCTAAATATTCATCTAAAGATGAATGAATAAATGAAATACGGTACATATGTATAATAGAATATTATTCAGCCTAAAAAAATATTATATTATTTTATTTGCAACAATATAGATGAGGCTGGAGAATATTACGTTAAATGAAGTAAGGCAGGCACAGAAAGACAAATATCATATGTTCTCTCTCATACTGGGAAGCTAAAGAAAAAACTGATCTTGTGAAAGTAGAGGAGAATAATGGTACCAGAGGCTCAGAATGGGAGTGAGGAGGTGGGGAAAGAAGGAATTAATTAATTGATACAAAAATATAGGTAGATGGTAGGAATAATATCTGGTGTTTTCTTCCACTAGGGAAGTCATAGAATGCAAAATCCCTTTTCCCCAAAGCCAGCCATAAAAACAAAGGCTATTATTCTAACTTTCCTCCACCTTTCTACGTAAACACTGACCGCAAGTAAATTTTCTGACCAATACATGAAAATATAAAATATTACATATATTTTGAATTAAAAAACATTCAAACATAAAAATTACAACATGTTTTTAAAAACACATGTACTCATCACCTAGGTTCAACAATTTTTAGCACGTAGTAAATCTCGTTTCATTTATACCTACATTCATAACACCCATCCCACAAAAAGGTTGATGTGAAACAAATCTCAGAAAACACATTCCATCTTGTATCTTTTAGTATATAAATAAAATTTTGGTTCAGACATTTGACACATTATGATTGAAAGTAAAACATATATAGAGATCTTCCTAGTTTCCTAGATAAATATTCGCATGGCTTGTTCATTCTTTTGAAAAAGAAACATAGTACCTTAAGTTGTAACAAAAATATATTTATTATTTCCGAAGGGATCATAGAACACTATTTTTTCCCTTCTCAATATGTTTATTTAAGAATAAAGTAAATATTTAAAAGCCACTTACATTTAAATAAAGCTTATAAATTTTATAAAGTATGTGTCTTTTAGAATATGTGAAAAGTACTTTTCTTTCAAGGGACTCTAGGTTTACCCTTAAGCATTTTCCAAAAACTGGTCTGACAATTATGGACTATATTCTATTTTTTCAATATAGAGAAATGCATTAATGAGTGCATTAAGTGAAAATTATAGAATTACTGGTTTTAATAACATGGAGAACAGGATAGTATCATTGAAGTTACCAGAAAAATAACTTATATAAATATTGAAAGAAAAAATGTAAAATTCTGAACCAATAGAAGAGTATATAAAATGTAAATGGCTCTACTCATCAAATTCTAAATATTCATGTAAACTATTAATCTTTTTGAAATCCAAAGGATGCAACTTTTTCTGATTATTCACACTGGATGAGAAATATGGATATTGTCATTAGTGGTCAGACATTCCATTTTTCTGGAACTGAAATAAGTCTCCTTAAAGAAGTATGTGATGTACTAAAATTAAATTATTTTAGAGGCATACAAATTTAGTATTGTAAAACAATCCTCTCCTACATTTTTTCTTTGTTTTTTTTTCTTTTAAAATTTCATGACCCTAAAACAATCCTGTCATCTAGTTTATCTTTCATGCACTTGTTCCCTTAAGTATATGTTTACTCAACACAATATATGGTCAAATATTTTCGATAATTTTCTGCCCTCCCTTCTCAATAAGCTCTGGTCACATATACACTGGCTGACAAAGATCAGTAAAATTAATTTTGAATCCAAGCCAGATTTGTCATTTTAATATTTTAACTTTCATATGAACTGTATTATCATTATAAAAATTTATCTAATTTTTTTTTCAGAAAAAGAAACCCCCTGTGTTTGCCTAATAACCTCAATATCATGTATAAAATCATTACAAATTATGTTTTCAGGGTACCAAAAAGGTGAATTTAGGATTTCTTTTGATATAAAAATATCACTAAGATATGAATCATTAAATTTGGGGAATCCACTTTCACTGGTTGACCTTTTAATTGGAATCTAGTTGAATTGGTTTTTCATGTCCCTTCAGAGTCCTGTCTGTAATGTAGGGTACTATGTGTCAACTTGAGCTTTCTGGGAAGACTAACTCCTTTGGTATAAAAATCTGAAAAATAAGTTACTATGAATATACCTTTTACTTTAATCATAGAACTCTAAAATATTAAAATCGATATGACAAAGAATCTCTCCTTAACCAACTTTGGTCAAGCCCTTCTATGCTCTTTTCTTGACAAGGCTTTGACCTTGGCTGGATCCTTCCTGGGTCTGCATAGCCCAGTTTTAGAAAGAACCTGCTAAGAAGGTTTACAGGGAATCCTGCCATGATAGCCGAAGAACCTGTAAATCTTATTAAACTCTGTCTCTGATAACTCTGCCTGCCTTCAACAAAATTTCTCTTAGGTCAGTTGAGCAACAATGTCTCTATCCTTGGTATGTCCTTTTAGTAATTTTCATCCCACCAACTTTCCCAAGCTGCTCCCTGGCCACAAATTCTCACTTGTTCTTGTATTCACAGTTGATCCCAATGCTTCTTTTCTATTGCTATAGACAGCTATCACAATAGTCCCGAATAAAGTCTTCTTTACTGCTTTAACAAGTGTCAGAAATTTTGAACATAAAGGATCTTAATCAACAGTTAATGCACACATAGAATAAAGCTATATGTTCCATTATTATTTTATTATTAATATTAGTAGTAGTATTTAGTATTCCTGTATTACACGTGTATCTCTCAAAGGTTACTGAAGAACACGTTAATGAACAAAACCAAACAAAATGCCCTCTATGAAGAAAAATTGTTAAAAATGAAGCAATAACAAATATTTTAATGTCCGGCAAGTCCTAGGCACTGTGCTAAGAACTGAGGAAATATGAACTAGTAAAACAGACCTGCAGGTGTTCAAGAGTCCTTCACATTCCACTAAATGGGACCTTATTTTCATTTCAATTTTGTTTAATTACTATTGTTCATTTTCTTAATTTTAAGTTTTCCTGACTCCATTCTAAGGATGTAAAACATCATGAGTCTTACATATAATGCCTCAGTATGCCCTCTGTGTTAACAACTCTTGCAATTGTCTGTATCTGCTGAGAGGTTAATTACTTTGGTACTTTATCTAAAGACAGGAAATTACCCATTTAGGGAAAAACCTTCCTACTTGTCTCTCTTCTAACTTTTGCTCTTACTCTCAAACTCACTTTCTACCTCTTAGCTCTTAATGATTACAAAATACAATTTAGTCAAATCAGAGTTGAAATGAAAAAAGTTTTACTTATAAATTATTTCTTCTGACAATAATATATTTTGGCCTCAGTATTCTTACTTGAGAAATGAAGAAAAATAATGACTGTTATATAGAATCATTTTAAAACCTAAATTAAGTAATATCCATAAAAGGACCTAGATACATAAGTAGGAAATAATAGGATCCCAAATAATAAAGTTATCTTTTGTTGTTATGAAGATAAAATCCTTTAAATGAATCCGAAGTCCTTATGATCAGCTTTTATTTATTTATTTATTTTTGGACAGTTTTATTATAGTGGGAAGGTGCTAGACTGAGGTTAAAAAAATTAAAAAGAGATAAAAACATATATTCTAAATGCCTAAACGCATACTGTGTCCTAGGTACTGTGTCTGCTTTTCTGTTTGTAACTTTGTGAGCTTGAACAAATAACCTATTATATCTTCATCTGTTTACTTTTATTCAAAATGAACAAGTTAAAAGCAAATTTTATGTTCTGAATAGTGTTCCATGGGACACTAACTCTACAAGATGTTAATATGGAGTATTGAGATGGAGAGAAACGAAGTTTTCCATAATCAAGTAATTTGGAGGATGACAGATTTAACCAAAGAAGTGTTTTGTTTTTCTTTTATTTTTTGATTTGAGGACA
This sequence comes from Homo sapiens, assembly GCF_000001405.40. Taxonomy (NCBI): domain Eukaryota; kingdom Metazoa; phylum Chordata; class Mammalia; order Primates; family Hominidae; genus Homo; species Homo sapiens. The sequence goes on from NC_000005.10 coordinate 23,663,981, forward strand.
AACAGTTCAGATTACTGGCTCCCCACTTATTTGCTACCTAAAGTTGGGTAATTTGCTTATTGTAAGTCTCACTTTGGCATTAAAAAAGAAAACAAGGATTCACAGTAAACTGTTGGACAGAAAGGAAAGAATGTGATCAAATCTCTAAAGTGCAGAGAATGGGTAGAACACAGTTAACCCATAATAAATGGTAGTTGTTCTTGTTATTACTATTAATATTATTATGATTAATCTTTACCTCTTCAAAGGCATATAATATTTAAGACAAAGATTCCTTTTTTTCTCTTTTCTTCCAAAACAAATTTGCAGCTTTTCTAAGAGCAGGAGGGTAGCTTTTTAAGAATATATGAGATTTCCTCTTCTTACAATTCAAGTGTATATGTAGCATATCAGCAGGAGAAGCTGTGCAAATACTATGGGCAGCCTGGAACCATTTCTTCCCAAACATCAGTCAAGTAGGAACCCATTGCCCTAATAGCACAGAGGCAGACAGATAGCTAGTACCTTACTAGGTCTACATGAGTAATTAAAACCAATTAGTTTCACATATCTAATTGTAATATATTTTTCTCTGTACAGTTTAGTACATAAATAGGTGAATAAAAATTCATAACTGTTTAGAGAAATATTTTTACTAGAATACATAAATTTCTACTCCAATAGGAAGTATGAATATAAATGTATAAATAATTTTCATAGAATGTAAAGTATCCAATTCAACAATTCTAAAAGATGATTAACAAAATTACTTGAACAAAAGATCATCAGTGGAATACGCATATACTTCTCAGAGTGACAACATGGAAAGGAAATTAGAATACAAATGTACATAAACACATAAATATATACAAACATTGAAAGGATTTACTGTATCTCTAATTTTTATGTTTATTTATTTATTTATTTATTTTAGAGACAAAGTCTTGTTTGTCATCCAGGCTGGAGTGCAGTGGCATGATTGATCATAGCTTTCTGGAGCTTCCAATTCCTGACCTCAAGCAATCCTGCCACCTCAGCCCCCTGAGTAGCTGGGACTATGGGCATGTGCCACCATGCCCAGCTTATTTTTGCATTATTTTAAATGAAATGTTCTTAATTATATTTGATCAATAACATTTATTTTATTTAACGTCTAAATACCTTTAGCTCTTCTCTATAGCAGAATAATTCTTAAAAAGTGTATTTGCTAGCATTTAGATTCATCAAAAACAATGCTAAGCATACCCGAATGCAATGAAGAGCTGAAATTGTTTTGAGCAATGAAATCATCACTAGGCATAAGTGCCCGACACACAGATGCCTCATTTGAAGGTAAGATGACTTTGAAAGCATGAATCACATTATGTTTCTCTTAAAATAAGTTATATTTCATTTTTACATAGTAGCATGGAAAGGGCTCAGTGTGTTGGAGTGAAGTCTAAGTGATGTGAAAGCTTTCTAAAGCCTTCTGAGCAACAAACTCCTAGTATTTCAGATGAGAATGATGATATCTAATTTATAAGGTTGTTTGCTTTAAAGAATGGTAAGATATGCAAAACACCTGGCACATGACTAGTAAGCCAAATATTTCTACTTGAGCAACTGTTTAGATGGTGATGGCATTTGCTGAAATGGAAAAAAAACGGGATAAGAAACAGGTTTCGTTATTAAAAACAAGAGGTACAATTCTGCATATCTTAAATTTAATGCATTCACAGAACAACAAATCAAGATACATAACTGATTTGTTATGAAAAGAGATGAGGTTGGGCTTGGAACTATCTATTATATTAATCAATCACCATCAACAGGTAGATGATACGTAAAATATGGAATAGGATAAGATCGACTAAAGAAAATATGTAGATAAAAGACATGTAGCCCATGTTTGAGGCCTGGGAATAACCATAATTGGAGGTCAGGAGCATAAGACACCTGCCAAAGTGACTGAGAAGAAGCACACAGAAATAGACAACTAGAACCAGGAAAGTAGATTCCCAGAGAAGCCCAGAGAATGGCATGGTTCATATGAAATAAAGTGGCCAGCAATGTTAAACACTTCTGAGAGTTGAGAAAACTGGGTTGAGAAATGAATGCAATGCAGGTAAGAAAAAAAGTTTAATAATTTGGATTTGAATTTTAAAGCAATGGAGTGATAACTGGAGAATTATGATTCGTTTTTTCTTTCTTTTCTGGGCATTTTAAATTTTTGCATATTTGCTTAGCTATTTACTTGTTATTTTAAAGGAGATACATTGTAGCATATTTTCATGCTATTGAGACAACAAAGATATGGAGATTGATGACATGGAACACAGAGGAAATATCAAGGGAAAAACCTCTAGATTTTTTAAATAATGTGATTCTCAAAATTATGGGATCCACACATGTGAATTCTTACTCTGTTAGAATGAAGTACACATGTCCCTTTGGAGATATTTGTAGATTTGATAGTGGGAAAATAAATTATGTTGAGGGAGGAAGGAATTGAAAGAGTAAGAATATTGGAGGAAGCAATAGATATCTTGAAGAGTTTAAAAGCAAGCTTTAAACAAAAAATATGGTAGGTTTTCCAGAGAATATTGAAAGTGTATTTGGAGACTGAGCCCATAAATTTGAAGATGAAATCAGCTATATTATTTTCTCCAACTATTTTTACATAAGGAAATATGAAAACACAAAAGTTCAGCACATAAAAATTATTCATTCAGGCAGACATAAAGTAACATCTATGAGAATGTAATTCCAGAAAGAATGTTGAGCAACAAGAATGCTCATTCACTGTTGAAACTTACATGCAAATTACTAAGTGAAAGCAGCCAATCTGAAAGGACTACATATTGTATGAGTCCAATCATATGACATTCTGTAGGTATGTTGGTATTCTAATAAATATAGTAAAATAATGGTTGGTATGGGTTGGGTGAAGAAAGGGATGAACTGACAGAGTACGGAGGATCTTTAGGACTGTAAAACTATTATGTATTATTGTAGTCATTATACATTTATAAAAACCCATAGAATGCACAACATTAAGAGTGAATCCTAATGTCAGCTATGGACTTTGGGTGCTAATAATGCATCAATGTATGTTCACTGGTCTTAACAAACATCCCATTCTGGTGTGCAATATTGATAATGAGGAAGGCTGTGCAGGCAGGGTGGAATGGAGGAAATATATGGAAAATATCTGTACCCTCTGCTCAGTTTTGCTGTGAACCTACAATACTCTAAAAAATAAAGTCTTATTTATTTTTTTAAAAGAATTTAGATCTACACACATCTCTGTGTCACAAAGAATGGTGATGGAAGTTGGTATATTACTGACGGTTATACCCGTTTTTATAAGAGACAGAACATTTTTCAAATTTTCAGCTCTAGGTGTTTCATTTGGCACCTATTTACATTTTCTCTTTAGCTGTGTTATCAGCTGTATGATGGTCCCCACAGATGTCTATGTCCTTATCCCTAGACCCTGGGAATATTGCCTCATGTAGCAAAAGAGAATTTGAAGATATGATTTAGTTAAGGATTTGAGATGGAGAGTTATCCTGGGTTACCTGTGTAGGCCCTAAACATAATCACCCATGTCCTTATAGGAGGGAGATAAAGAGATATTTGAGATATTACAGGAGAAGGTGATATAACCTTAGGCACCGAGATTGGAGTGATGCAGCCAAGAATCAAGGGAAGCTGGCAACCTCTAGAAGTAGAAGGGGCAAGAAACACAATTTTTCTATTGCACTCAGAAGAGGCCATCCTTGTTGACACCTTTACTTAAGTCTGAAGATAATAATTTCAGATAAATGATCCTTCAGAACTATAACACAATAAATCTATGTTGTTTTGAGGCACTGAACCTTTGGCAATTTGTTACAACAGCAATAAAAACAAATATAAGTTTTCTTAGCTGTTCTCTTATTATACCACGTTTCTCTTAAATTCTTTCAATTTTGTAAGTATTTATATGTGAAATTCAAAACCTGAGGGCATGCAGAGTCATTGTCTATTGACTACCTTTTTCTGATTTATTATTTATTTACTTTTTTTTTGAAATAGGGTCTTGCTGTGTTGTCCAGGCGAGAGTGCAGTGGTGTGATCCCAGCTGATTGAAGCCTCAACCTGGCCGGGTGCAGTGGCTCACGCCTGTAATCCCAGCACTCTCGGAGGCCGAGGAGGGCGGATCACAAGGTCAGGAGATGGAGACCATCCTGGCTAACACAGTGAAACCCCATCTCTACTAAAAACGCAAAAAATTAGCCGGGCATGGTGGCACGTGCCTGTAGTCCCAGCTACTCAGGATGCTGAGGCAAGAGAATCACTTGAACATGGGAGGTGGAAGTTGTAGTGAGCCCAGATGGTGCCACTGCATTCCAGCCTGGGCGACAGAGCGAGACTCAACCTCTTGAGCTCAAGCCATTCTACAGTCTCAGCTTCCCAATTAGCTGGGACTACAGGTGCGTGCCACTATACCCAGTGAATATTTTGTATTTTTGTAGAGATGGGGGTTTCACCATGTTGCCCAGGTTTGTCTTGAACTCCTGGACTTAAGCGATCTGCCTGTCTCGGCCTCCAAATTGCAGGGATTACAGGTGTGAGCCACCATACCTGGCCTTTTTCTGATTATAAGTGATAATTTCTGTATCTTTTCATGTCTAACATTTTCTGGTGGAAAACTGAACATTGTAGACAGCAAGAATGTTGATGACTCTGGGTTCTATTTCTCTGTGAACAGTTGTATTTTGTTACACTAGACGTGAAATTGAATGGTCTCATCCGGAATCTTTTTATCCTGTCATGTACAAGAACTGTTGTCTCTATGTGGCTAATTTGACTTCATTTTAGACCTCACTTTGTGTGGATTGCCCCTGCAACGTCTCAGTCTACTAGTAATTTAAGGATTTGGGTAGACTTTCAGACTTTCCAATACAGACCTTCTTAGTTCTTTACAAGAACTAAGAACAGCCCTTTGACATCTCAATCAGGAACACATCTACTGTGTTGCCACCTGTTTTGTGCATTGGTTTATGTCCACTTTTCAACCAGGCTTCTGGTGTCTCATGCAAAATGCAAAATATAACAGTCAGACAGAAATTGGAATAGAGTTTATACTCTAATTTTGAATCTCAAACTGTCTGTGGCTGTCTGACTTCCAGAATGTTCCAGCCATATCCTATGGCTCAGCTGCTCTGAACTCCATCATCTACCACTGGAACTTATAAGGTTACAGTTTGCCACCTGAGGGAAGTCTTGTACATAGCACACACCTGATATACTAGCAATCTTTCAACACTAAATTCTTTTCATATTTTGCCCTCTGGCCATTTTCAGAGTGCTTCAAGTATCTGTTTTAAGTACATTTTTCCAATTTTAATTGTCTTCTACAGGAATAATCACCTAGTCTCTTCGTGTCCCATTAACAGATAATTTCTACCAACTTTTACAAATGTATTTAATGGTATTGCTGACATAAATTTTAAAATAAGGTCATATATTTTAAGATTAACAAAATTATTATTACCTTAATACCACTATTACCAAAAAGAGTTAGTCATCTTAAATATGTAAGGATATTAACAACTAGTGTAAACTATTTACCAGCATAAAATTTATGAACACTATTTGTAATATATTATATAATCTATTTTGCCGGAAAATTGTATTTATGTAAAGGCAAAAAAAAAAGTAGGGTTTAAACAACAAAAACAACACCTAAAATTCTACTATTAATTTTACACCACTGACAGCTAGATTTTGCAACTAATTTTTCAGACAGGTAGACTTTCTTCATAAAAAGCAATCACCAATGAGAAGGTTACATAGTTCACTCATATCCAGGAACTTAATCTGTTTAGTAACCTTAGACTCACTTACTCAATTATTCTCAGTCATGAGTCGCAATGGGATGACTTCCCACCAGCCTCCAGATGCTATAATTATATTTATCTTCTTTACATCTAATTACATAGCATACTATTTTACTTTCCCACTGTTCATTAAAAAAATTTCTAGCTGTGGCATACTGAATGCCTTAGAGAATAAAGAGATGTTAATAGTCCTAAAGATGTATTTCTGGACTTCTAGCATTTACTCAAATTAACATGCTTTCATGATGATATGGTATTTAATGTAGCCCACTATTGGCAAGAAATAAATAGTATTAGTCAATTGTACTTCAATCAAATGGGTAAATTAATGGTATTTTTGGTATTCTTAGTCATGCCTCTTACAAAGGTGTAGAGTAAGTCCTACTAAAACGTAAAGAAATAGTTGATACATTTTTGTCACAACCCCAAATAGACACAAACTTTTTTCAATTATTGTGTTTGAGATTCAAAAGGAGATAGAATAAAGGAATGACTTAATATGTTTGAGACCTCAAGTTCTTTATTTCAAATGAAAATCAGGAAACTACTGCTCCTTTCCTTTCCATTTTAAACACTTTAATTTTGATCCTCTTAGTTCATATAATAGTATGTTGTTTATAAAACAAACCCACAATTTGAAAAATATAAAATATCATGTTTTAATAAGTCATGTGATCTCAATAATTTACATATTTGAATTCTTTTTTTATTAAATCCATTGTGAGTTAAATATCTTAAATCTAGATTTATGACACCTACAATAATGGTTTTTACTGAATTAAATAAAATGCATATGTATTGTTATATTACATAACCAAATAGCAATAGATTAAAAAGTAATCACTTTATGCCTATGTACACACTATAAGTGGAATTACACATAGTAACATATCTGTATTTAGAATATATTGAGAATTTACAATGATATAATAGCAGCTCAGTTAGCTAATCTTCACAAACTGTGTGTATAACACTATACATATATTTAAAGAGAATAAGGTTTGCTAATGCATTCAAGTCTACTCATTGCAGCACTGCTCTGCTATTTTCTAATTTTTATTTAACATATCAGGTAAATTACCTAGAAATTCTAATACTGTTGAAAGCTTCATATAGACCTCTCAAGGTACCCCTTACTTCCTATTGCTCCTAGACTCAATCACTTTCAAACCATTCAGCTATTTTAAGTAGCTTTCCCCCCCATTCATATTTATTTTGTTCTCTTGACTCAGTTTTATATTTAACATTTTTTAATTATAGCAGTAAATATTTTAGTTCAAATAGGATGAGCCCGATTTTCATTTTTATTAATTTGTAGAGCACAAGAGAACTGATTAAAATCTTTATCCCAGTGTGTTGTTGTCGGGGGTGCAGGTGGAGGTGCTGAGAGTATACTTTTTTTTTTCTTTTCCAATATAAGGCATTTAGTTATTCTATCAGGTTCAGTGTAGATAATGGAAATCCATTCATATATACAAAGGGATTTACAGAAATTAGGTACTTAATATCGTGTTTGAAGGTCTAGAGAAAAAGAGGGCAGCTTCATATTTTAGATGGTTTAGTTCAAAGAACATGGTAATAACTGCAATATATGTATCAGAAACTCCTTGCTGATGTCACAACAAATTTGCACATCTATGCTGATGGTGATTACACACTCTGCCTCCAGATCAGAAGGCTATAACATATTCTCAACAATTATATTTTATCACTAACATTGTCCATATGGCATAAACACCAGAAAGATAATTTCCACCTTATTTCCACTTTCCAAATTTTAGTAAATCTTGAAGTCAAATTTTAATTCAGAACCTTATCTACCAGGAAACCTGAGGAATGTGATTTTTAATTGTATGAGAAGAAAACAGATACACACTATTTTACACAGGTAAAATTCTACAGATAAATGTTGCTGTAAGAAAACCCAAGGTATTATTTATTGATCTTTTCTCTTGAGCAATTTAGAACATTCTGAAACATCCTCAAAATTCTTGACTACAAAGCTTCAGTCTTGTGTAGGGTAAGATAGTTTTGTTGTTGTTGTTGTTGTTTAACCAATCTTTCAAGGACGCTTCATTCTTATTTTCATTTTTTTTTTTTTTTTTTTTTTTTTTTTGAGACAGAGTCTCGCTCTGTCGCCCAGGCTGGAGTGCAGTGGCGCGATCTCAGCTCACTGCAAGCTCCACCTCCCGGGTTCCCACCATTCTCCTGCCTCAGCCTCCTGAGTAGCTGGGGCTACAGGCTCCCGCTACCACGCCCGGCTAATTTTTTGTATTTTTTGTAGAGACGGGGTTTCACCGTGTTAGCTAGGATGGTCTCGATCTCCTGCCCTCGTGATCCGCCCGCCTCGGCCTCCCAAAGTGCTGGGATTACAGGTGTGAGCCACCGCGCCCTACCCATTCTTATTTTCATAATGACAGATTAAGTGTGTTTTCTCAGAGCCTTCCTTTTTTCCAGAACATCAAAGTCTACTCGCTTGCTCAGTAGAGAAGTTTTTCCTCACTCAATTGTACAAGATTTAAGTGTGACTATAAAGGTCAACTTTCAGGCTCTTTCAAAAATCTCTCCTTTTCCACTACTACACTCTCCTTATCTCCATTTTCTATGGTGCATTATTCTTCCAATTGCTGAAACATTACCCAGTTCCACGGTATAAACCAGTTTACACACACACCAGTTTTACCTTTATCATCCTAGTGATACTGTTTTCTCCCCCATCCATGTTTTTTATCTTTATGTACTATAATTTGGAAAGCAGGCCGGGCGCGGTGGCTCACGACTGAAATCACAGCACTTTGGAAAGCCGAGGCGGGTGGATCACGAGGGCAGGAGATCGACACCATCCTGGCTAACACGGTGAAACCCCATCTTTAATAAAAATACAAAAAAAAAAATTAGCCGGCCGTGGTGGCCGGCGCCTGTAGTCCCAGCTACTGAATTAATTAAAATGCATATATAGTGTTATATTACATAACCAAATAGCAATAGATTAGAAAGTAATCAAACATTTTATGCCTACGTATAAAATGTTTCGGGAGGCTGAGGCAGGAGAATGGCACGAACCTGGGAGGCAGAGCTTGCAGTGAGCTGAGACTGCGCAACTGCACTCCAGCCTGGGCGGCAGAGCGAGACTACATCTCAAAAAAAAAAGAAAAAAGAAAAGCAAACATCTCTAATTATTAACAGATATGAAACAAGTGTTCCATTTTCTTTTATATTTTGTTTGTTGTAGGATGTTGAAGAAAAAACAATATAAAATTTCTGCTTTGCCATATTAAACTCAGAAATCTGCTAAATTATTTTCTGATGTAACTGGCATTCTATAAAACTAGTAAGTGAATTAGTCTAGAGGAAGAATATAAATTAGAGGACTCGACATGTACTTTCAAATTCAGTTGTTATCTCTTTTACTCATGGAGAGTGACAGCTCTGATAAAGGGACAGATGTAATAGAATTGTTTGTAAGATATCATTTAATCATCTTTTGATATATACCTGAAATATCAAGTGGTAATTTTTTCTGACATGCATATTTAAATTTGTTCAATTTTTGAATATGAGATTTAATTCTTTTTTAATATACATATACAGAAAGTATATGGTAAACATGTATTTACCAAAAGCATTAAATTTCTATTATAATTTTCAATAAATTCAGTAGAAATCTGAAACTGTTACAAATTAATATAAAGTACAAAATGCTCATTTTAAATAGGCATTTAAAATTTGATAATACCATTATATTACATGTGAATAATACATTTTCATAATGAGTATAGTAGTTTGAATTTCATTTTGAGTTGATTGTCTTCATGAGATATTAATTTGTATTAAATAAAAGTTTGATGATTTTTGTTTCTAGGTTACTATGAGATAAAATTGTAGCCAATTTTCTTTGAAACTCTTTGTAATTGCTTTATCTCTAAACTTCCAAAATTAATAAATCAGTAATTGCAGTTTTTCGTATTTTCTCTCACCACTTGCTAATTACATTTTATATTGGTAGAACAAATATCATCCCAAATAGTCAAAATGGCATTTGAGTTGATTGATGAAGTCCATATATTATTTTTCTTTTGATTGAGCTTCCTCTGAATTACATAACTTTCTTCTTTCTGGAATTTCAGCACTCTAGGTATTGTTTAGAGTTGTATATTCATTATGTAAAGAATGCATAATATGAGTTTTCAAATTCTGAAATATAATTCCAGAAGAAAATAGTTTGTTATGGTTTTCCCATGATCTTTCTGACATAATTTATTCATCACTTTTTAACTGGCTTATTTAATTAATTTAAGTAATTCCAAATTTTATCATATATACTCCAATTTTCCCTTTAAGAATTATTAGCTTGTTTAAGCATTCCCTTTTCTCTGCAGCCTTGCCAGCATCTGCTATTTTTTGACATTTTAGCAATAGCCATCCTGACTGGTGTGAGATGATTTCTCTTTGTGATGGCCATGGCAGGCCATCTGGAATAGCTGCTGGGAGGACACCACCTTCAGTGGGGGAGGTGCGACCAGGGCTGCTTACTCCACGGAGCTGGTGGGGGCCAGGAACAGGCAGGAACTGTGCCTCCTACCTAGTTTGTGGGCAGGAACTCCTGGGTAAGGCTGCAGCCACCCAGCCATGGCTCTGGACCTGGGCACCACTTTCTGGTGCCCAGGAAGGCCCCTACCCCTGCAGGTTCAGAAGTGTCTGCTATCACTCCCTGGCTTCTCCCCACTCCCAGCACTGCTCCAGGGAGGGTCAAAGTTGTAGCTGACCCCCGGTGCTGTCGTGACCCGGCTGGGTGTGCGCACCCTTGGGTGGCACTAAAACACCAACCCTCTGCTGTCTTGGCTCCCTCTGGACTTTGGGTGCGAACAAGCATAGGAGAGAGGTCAGGAGGGTGTTGAGGGAAGCTCTGTGTGGGCCTTCAGCTGCCTTTCAGCACAAACAGCCTGGGCTGTGGATGGCATGCTGATGGCAGGAGGCAGACAGGTTCCTGGGCAGAAAGGGGCAGGTCCCTGGTGAAACTTCACCTTCAAGCCAGGGACAGCTTGAAGCCTGGGGGCCTCACTGCCAATTCTGGACAGAGTCTGTGGCCCAAAGTGAGGACTTATGGTACTTATTCCGGGCCCACCCCTACCAGCCCATGAGCAAACCAACATACACTTTCTCCCTTCTGAGCCCATAAAAACCCCAGACTCAGCCAGACACACACAGATATCAGGACTACCAGCTGTGGGAAGGAGCTTCCCACTGCGAGTCTCATCTCCAGTGAGAGCTGGGCACTCGTCAGGACAACCTGCCTGTGGAAAGGAGCTACCCACTTTGGGGCTCCTGAGAGCTGTTCTGTTGCTGAATGAAGCTCCTCTTTGCCTTGATCATTCTCTAGTTATTCACATACCTCATTCTTCCTGGACATGTGACAAGAACTTGGGAACTGCTGAATGGCAGTACTAAAATTGCTGTAACAAACAGGGCAAAAACACACTCCCCCCAACACATGCCACATTGCAGGCGATGGGAAGGAGAGAAGAGCTGAAGCCCTTTGCAGAACCCAGACCTAGGGGCTCCCAGAGCCAGGGCTTTGACACCCTCTTTTGAGCTCTGTGGTTCCCAGTGTCTCCAAGCTTCCAGACACCACTGCATTCCCTTTGTCCAGACATGGAAGTCCACAGCAGAAGCCATGTGCAGTACATCTGGTCCAGCCACAGCCTCACATGAAGATAGCACCTGTTCTAGTGCCTGGGCCCATCTGTCTGACTCCAGCAGCTGTCATGCCTGTCTGTGCACAGTGGCAGGACCCCATGCTTGCTCACTCACATACCCCTTCCCGCTCCACACTTGGCTCATCCTTGGCAGGTGTGGGATCCAGGCCAGTAGTATAAGCAGAGTGCAGCCTGCCAGGATGAGTGGGAGGAATGAGCCCAGCTGGTGTGAGCAATACTCAGGCAGAAGGCACTGCTGGCCACAGCAGTTTCTTGCTGGTGAACTGACAACCCCAAGAATCCTGTGACAATTGTGGCTTTGATTTGCATTTCTCTGATGATTAGTGATGATGAGCATTGTTTCATATGTTTCTTGGCCACTTGTATGTCTCCTTTTAAGAAGTATCCGTTCATGTCTTTTGTTCATTTTTAATTTTTTTTGGTTATTTATTTAAGTTCCTTTTAGATTCTGAATATTAGACCTTTGTTGAATACATAGTTTATGAATATTTTTTCCCATTCTGTAGATTGCCTGTTTACTCTGTTGATGTTTGATTGTGCTGTGCATAATCTATTCAGTTTAATTAGATCCCACTTGACAATTTTGTTTTTTGTTGCAATTGCTTTTGGGGACTTGACCATAAATTTATTCCCAAGAGTGATGTCAGTATGGTTATTTCCCAGGTTTTATTTTAGGATTTTTATAATTTGAGGTCTTACATTTAAATATTTAATCCACCTTGAATTAATTTTTGTATATGGTGAAGGTGTCTAATTTTGTTCTTCTGCATATGGCTAGCCACTTATGACAGCACCATTTATTACATAGGGAGTCCTTTCTCCATTGCTTATTTTTCTCAGCCCTGTTGAAGATCAGCTGGTTGTAGATGTGTGGCTTTGTTTTTATTTTTCTATTATGCTCTAGTTTTCAATTCTGTTCTATTGATGTATGTGTCTGTTTTTGTGTCAGTACCCTGCTGTTTTGGTTACTGTAGCCTTATAATATAGTTAGAAGTTGGATAGTGTGATGCCTTTAGCTGTGTTCCTTTTTTTCAGATTGCTTTGACTATTCAGGATCTTTTTTGGGTCCATATGAATCTTAGAGTTGTTTTTCCTTATTCTGTTAAGAATGATGTTGGTATGCTTGCTAGGAACAGCATTAAATCCATAAAATGTTCTGGGCAGAATGGTCATTTTCACAATATAAATTCTTTATGTAAATTATTTCAGGCACTGTGGAAAGCAGTTTGGAGACTTCTCAAAGAACCTAAAACAGAGCTACTATTCAACCCAGCAATCCCATTACCAGGTGTATACCCAAAGGAAAATATATAATTATAACAAAAAGACACATGTACTTGTCTGTTCATCACCATACAATTCACAATAGCAAAGATATGAAATCAACATAAGTGCCCATTAATGGTGTATTGATTATAGAAAAGGTGATATATATACACCATGGAATACTATACAGCCATTAAAAATGAAATAATGTTCTCTGCAAGAAAATGATGCAGCTGGAGGCCATATTCCTAAGATAATTAATGCAGAAACTGAAAACTAAATATCACATGTTCTCTTGTATGAGTGGGAGCTAGACATTGAGCACACATGGACATAAACCTGGGAACAATAGACACTGAGGAGTACTAGAGTGGGGAAGGAGACAGGTGGAACGTGAGTTGAAAAACTACTTATTGCATACTTTGCTCACTACCTTGGCCCAATACACCCATGTAAAAATCCTACATATGTCCCCCCAGTCTAAAACAAAATCTGAATATATATATATATATATATATATATATATATATATATATATATACATACACACACACATACACACACACACAGACATACATATATATGTTTAATTGTTTGATTTACCCACTCCATAATATATATCAAAACATCATATTGGCCAGGCGCAGTGGCTCACGCCTGTAATCCCAGCACTTTGGGAGGCCGAGGCAGCTGGATCACCTGAGGTCATGAGTTCGAGACCAGCCTGGCTAATCTGGTGAAACCTCGTCTCCATTAAAAATACAAAAAAAATTAGCTGGGCCTGGTGGCAGGCACCTGTAATCCCAGCTACTAGGGAGACTGAGGCAGGATAATCACTTGAACCTGGGAGGCGAAGGTTGCAGTGAGCCGAGATTGCACCTTTGCACTCCAGCCTGGGCGACAGAGTGAGATTCTGTCTCAAAACAAACAAACAAACAACCCCATCATATTGTATACTATAAATATGTAAAAATTTTTAAGCTGCTAGAGTAGAGCTAAAATATTTAAATATATTTATTTTATTCACTAATGTTAGAAAGAGGCCAGTAATATAAGTATCCTTGAAGTAGTGAAACCAATTACAGTATTTAAATCAGTATTTTTTTCAAATCTGTCTTTAACAATTTCATCTAGTAGAAATGTGGAATTTTTAATTTCATTTAAAATTCAGTTTGCCATTTACGCCTTCCTACAACTTTAATCATAGGGTTTAACTCTTAAAGAATTTTGGATTCAGTCTCAAACTCATCCTCAAATCATTTTATTTCCTATTGTTTTCCTTTTACTTAATTGGATTCTCCCGAGTTTAATTAGGTTTAAAGCATAGTGATTATAAAAAGACTATGCTTGCTTAATGCACACAGTCTCCCAAGTGGTCTTTTCAAATTTCCCAACATTTTTTTAGTGGATATTCAATCACCTTACTAATTACTGAAAGGAAATAGCTCACAGCACATTCCCTACTGATGGCTGGTTAACTCTATCATCCTATTATAGAAAAAAGGCCAGCATACTTAAGCTAAGAAGTTAGTAAAGCTTACAAGATAATTATTATATGATATTTTTAAAGAATGTGGTAATATCCCACTCATCTTGCACTTATGTTCTTGTCCAAGAGTAAAATCAGCTTAACTGCTAGCATACTTCCAGAAAATCAACTTCAAACAAATAAATCAAAATAATCCAAATGACCTACAAAATTATAGTTTTTCTATGGAGAGTCTACATCCAGTTGAGACTTTTTTTTAACATATTTAAAATGTATATAAACAAATATATGAAATAACAGTGTGCAGACAATGCATATCAGGCAGCACAGAACAGTGATCCCTGAGACAGGGGCAACAACACAGGTTAAGTCTATGATTGCTCAAGCCCACTTTCAAAAGGAGTTTTCAGTCTAAGTCCAAGAAAGAGGGCACTGAAGCCAACGCTAATGATCTCCCTGAATTGAGAAGATGAAGCTTGGAGTCAGGGCAGAGAAGTAGTGGCTGCTCTCTTACCTAACAAAGCTTAAAAGCAAGCCTTGAAAAGATCAGAGTGTTTCCATGTGATTTATTACATTTCACAACAAAGCTCAATAACATTTATCAGAATTCAAAATACGAAAATAATCAGCATCCAAAAGTTGAGATTCACAATCCCTGGCATCCCACCAAAAATTGCTAGGCATGCAAAATGTTTGGAAATTATGACATATATTAATGAGAAAAATCATTCTTTAGAAAAAGTATTTCTAGGACCTAGAAATAACAAGTAATAGCATTATTAGATAAGGACATTCAACATATTCCAAACATTCAAAAAACTTAAACCGAACACCTGTAGAGAAATAATACAACATGTGAGATAAAATTTACATTGTATGGGATTACTGTCATATACTAAACCGGAAAAATTAGCAGGAGAAACTATACAAAATTACACACAGAGAAAAAATTTTTAAAAATTTAATAAAGCATCGTTAAACTGTGAGACAAATTTAAGTGGGTTAATATCTGTGCAACAGAAACTCTGAAAAACGCAGATGGGAGGAAAAATGTTTAAAACTTAATAGCCAAATTTTAAAAAATGATGAAAACTATAAAACCACACGCGCAAAATGCTCAGTCAACTCCAATAAAAAACATGAAGAAGATTTCAACGGGTACATTTTAAAGAAATGACTTAAATCTAGTGTTAACAAGAAAATATTATAAACAAGCAGAATAAAAAAAGATACATTAGATAGGAAGGAAGACATAGGGATTAAAGCTGATTTCTTTTGTAGAAAATATCAGACAGAAGACAGCAGAAGTTCATCTTAAAATACTGAAGGACAAAGAGTTGTCAACTTAGAATCTTAGTGAGAATATAATTCAAAAACAAAAGCAAAATAGAGAATTAATCATCAGCAGACCTTCCCTAAAAGAAATATTAAAGGAAGTCCTGAAGGCAGAAGGAAAATATTATATGGAAATCTTAACCTGGACACACAAGATTAAGAACACTGGAAATGGTAAATACGTATATAAATATAAAACATATTTGATCCTATTATTTGAATCTTTTTAAATGATAAATGCCCAACAGAAATAACTGGTACTTTGGAATTCTGCCAGGTACATAATCATTCCAATGCTAATATAAAATAAACAAGTCTTTAGGGAGAGAAAAAGACAATTTATCAACATAATGTCTCAGTGATAGAGTACTGAAAAATTTACTATAATAAAGAATAAAATTAATCTCAGAACACCAAAATTGTATTTAACATATACGTCTGAACGGAAAAGATGAGATTTTGATATACTGAAGTAATAATTTATTATAAGATGATGAGTAAGACTAATTTGAAGACAAATTATACACTGAGTCAGATATAGTACTCAATGCTATTCAGTACAAGCATGGGCATTTTGTTCATTAATTTGTTTCAAAAGTATTAATAATGATTACATGGTAGTGAATAAAACAAAACTAAATGTTTCTACTTCATGCTTCTTTTAGCCAGAGAAGATAAAATAAATTCCAATAAACTCATATAAAGATAAGAAATAATTTGATAATAAGTGCGAAGGAGAAAAATGAAGCAGGGTAATGACTGTGAGAAATGACAGGCATAGGATGGTCTAGGGTGACCTCTGTGGGGAGGTAGCATTTGGACGGAGAACTGAAGGAAGAACGAGGAGAAGCTTTGCAGAAATAAGATGAACATTTCAAACAAAAGGAATATTAGGCGCATAATCTGATGCATCCTAAAATATGAATGGTTTGACAAATTTGAGAAATGGCAAAAAAAAAAAAAAAGCAGGATGTGGAGAGAGAGGAGTGAGAGAAGGGGTGTGGTCAGGGATGTAGATGTGTGTGTTTTAGGAGATGGAGGAGGGAAGAGGGGAATATCACAGGGCATATTGACCGTTATAATGACTTAGGCTTTACTTTGAATAAACTGGGTAGCATTTCAGCACTTTTAATCAGAATTATGACAATCTTGTTTATGTGCAGAGTCACTTTGTATTTTGCCAGGAAAGATATCTGATTTCCTACATATAATACTCTGGGGACTGCCACTGGCTCTAGGAATGCAGTTCGGGCCAGATTGTATCGGGAGCTAAGGTGAGCAGTCTCTGCCAAAACTTCCACTTGGTACAGAGAGATCGGAGGTTGGGATGTGAATGCTAAGTCCCGTGATCCTCCTTTCCATCTACACCAAGGTTTCCTCCCAGGACTTCTCACTAGCTAACTCTAATTCCAAGACAGAGGTTAAGGATGCCTGAATGATGAATCCCGTAGAAATAATCTTTGCAAGGCATTGAATGAAGCAGAGGACAGATGGTGGATCTGGAAGAGCAAGTGGAAATTATCTGGCACAACTACAGTTGACTATATGCTCCATGACAGCAGACATATCTACCATATTCATTATATTCCCAGTTCCAAAGACAATGCACAATAAATAGGTCATGCCAAACATCTCTGTATTCCGTGCCTTAACCAGTCTCTTTTCATCCACCTATGCAAATTCCTATTTTATACCTGAAGATGCAGTATAAATACTACCTCTATTTGAGGTTTTTCTTTATTTTCCTCTCCTTTTCCATTCTTCCTCACATCACCCATGACCTCTTATGTGGACATGGGGTGAATTTTTGTTCTGTTCTTACATGCAGCCTCCTAATTACTTTCACTTTATATGCACCCCTTGATACACTATAGGATAGCTTTAAGAGGGAATTTAATTTGCAGCCCATTTTGAACTCCTTTAGCAACAAGAAAACTGGTTTTTTAATCTCTGTATTACCAGGACCTTGCATAGTTTCTTATGTAGAGTAGAAGCTCGATTAATATCTAGAGAATTGTATGTATTAATGAATGAACAAATGAGTTACTGAATCTAGAAAATATTGATAAAATTAAAAATATCGGCCGGGTGCAGAGGCTCACGCCTGTAATCCCAGCACTTTGGGAGGCAGAGGCGGGCGGATCACGAGGTCAGGAGATCGAGACCATCCTGGCTAACACGGTGAAACCCCGTCTCTACTAAAAATACAAAAAATTAGCCGGGCCTGGTGGCGGGCGCCTGTAGTCCCAGCTACTCAGGAGGCTGAGGCAGGAGAATGGCGTGAACCCGGGAGGCGGATCTCACAGTGAGCAGAGATCGCGCCACTGCACTCCAGCCTGGGCGACACAGCGAGACTCTCTCTCAAAAAAAAAAAAAATCTAAAGACCTCCTGCCTCCATATTCTTCTTCTGATTCTACGTATAATATGCTTGCTATTTGCTTTCAGAGGATTTTGTAATCTAACATGTTCTCTAGAGAATCCAGTTTGATACTCTACCTGCAGAACCATATCAAATTCGGCCTCCTTATTTGACATTCCTGCCCCTTTGCCCTGGTCCATCTAATGCGATCATGAAGTTGCTATGAGTGGGTGTGGTATGATTGATTGAATTCATTCTACATAGCAGGTGTCCACCTGCATACATATGCCATCACCTGAGGAAAAGCCAAGTGACTAAAGTAGGCACAAACACTTTATTCTACCAAAAATCACCATCTATAATGGACAAAAGTGGAACTGAAATTATATATGAAGACAAAACAATGTAAATATATTGACGAGCACTAATTCTCACAAAATAAAATAAATGAGGCTTTTACATTATTAAAAAAATGGTTATATTTTAGAATAATGCTACTATTAAGGTCATTGCATGTTACAAAGGTTATTAGCATTATCTACTCCCAGGTACCAAACTGACTTACTTTGAAAACAAAATCTCTATAGTGAAAGAAATCAAATGTTCAGTAGGCCACCAGGATTTTCATTACCTAAATGCATGGATATGTCAATATCTGTAGTTCTTTAGAGCAAAGACTGCTTAGAATCTAAGAAAAAGGAGGTGCTACTCCTGAAAGTCACTTTAAAAACTATGTAAATGCTAACACAGAAGAATCATGTAATAACAAAAGGCTTTTTTATCCTTTGCTGAAAATTTTTATTTTTAATGTAATAAAAATTAAATACTCTCTGAAAATTGAAAATACTCCATTGGAAAATTTTCAGTATTATGTCTATAGTACAAATTAGATATTTTTATTTTGTTATTGAGTCTTAAGGTAGATTTGGCTCTGACCAGACAGCCACACATCAACTCTGAATCTTGTTATTCTCCCTATATTTAATGTTATTTTCTTTATGTGTAAATATGGGAGAGAAAAAAGTTAACACCTACTGCACAGAGTCAGCATTTACATTAAACTTAATAATGTTTTGGTTTCAACTAATACAATAACTGACCAATATTAGGTACCTAATAAGTGTGTATTTCCTTTCAAAGTAACACATTTATTAAAATGGACTTGAATTGTATTACCCTAGGTTAGTATTTTACCTCTGCAATTTTTATAAATCTTTATAAGTCTGATATTTACACTGTAATATCATAGATTTCCTCTTCTCCATTTTCAAATAAAGGTCAAATAGTAATAACTTTTTTATTTAAGTAAATAATCTCAGTTTATAATCAAAACATAGCATATTGATTAATAAATTGCTTCTGAAATTATTTTCATTGAGTAACAGTGACTGGTCACAGAATATTTTAAGGTAACCATTCTTCATTTTTTTTGGTTATTATTCTCTGATTAATTTTTTTTAAAAATCTCCCATGCGTAACAAGTACTTCAACACTACAGAAGCAGATCTCCAAAATAAGCTATTTTGAATATTATTATCATTACATAAATCATATATTTTTACGATTGCTATAAACCTCCTAATAATACTAACTTCATTTGGAAAACCTAGGTATATAGTTCTCTTTCCCACATTACATCTTTGCACTTGGATGTTGAATTACTTCAACTCTAAAAGTTATGCAAATTGAGGGCTATCATTCTCATTATAAACCTAGAGAAAAAATTAAAGTCAGAGAAATAAATTAGAAATGTAAATAAAATTATTATTATTATTAGAAATAAATTAGAAATGGGCCAAGCATTCTCCTGTGTGTTTAGTCCTAACCACCCTTTGAGGTGGTTACACTTATTATTCCCACTTTACACATCAACTGTGACAGAGAGAAGCTACACACTTTTCTTAAAGCCACATCAGATTTTCCTGTTAAAGACTGCAGACTCAGAGCGTATAGCTCCAGATTTTATTCTTTTAACTTATATCCTTTTAACATAAGTTAGCGTTTGCCATGCTTCACCCCACAGACACTTATACTATATTTTCTTTTATTTTCACTACTAATTTTTACTAGGTAAATTCAGGTTGTTCATTTGTTTGACTCAAGGACTTACAGATTTAATGCATGTGATGTAGTTGCATTGGTAATGTGAAACCAGATGACTTCCTGATGATAGTAATAGAACAGCCAAATCCCCAGTGAAGTGAATAGCGGACAATGAGTTTGAGAGCAGTATGCTTGCTGTCCAGAACACTTAGCAGAAGACTGCAGAGGAAATGTCTACACACTTTGGAGTAGTGTCAACACGCAATGTTGGAGACATTGATGCCAAAACACTAGCCAGATTACCTTTAGACTTCAGGAATGCACTTCTGTGCTGCTATTGTGCAAGATGAGCCAACTGGGCAAAATGCTAAAACTAAAGCAGAGATAATTAGAGCACTCTCAATTACTTCCTCTGACAAGGGAAGGAAAAGGGCAAGACAGGTCTGCTAAATTCCTGTGAGTTTCTGTTGGGCAACAGGGAACAGGGGTTTATCTTTATGCTCTGCTTACCCTCAAAAACAAACTTCGTAGTTGAGACATCACTTCACCAAACTTCAGTTGGATTTACTACTCATTCTCATGCTCTGAGTCTCTTGAAGAAGAGGTCTCGGGGGCTTGATCCTTAAGTCAGCCAAAAAATACGGGTGCTCAGACACAAGTCTTTCCTCACCCCTTCTATGAAATTTCATGTCAGGCTCTGGAATCTGCATTCTTACATACCAGACAGGTGGAAACCCAAGTGAACAGGTATTGATTCTAAAAAGGTTGGGATACAGTTATCATAGAAAGCAAAATATGAGTGACTACTGTATCGAAGTGTTTTTTTTTTTCTTTAACTTTTACTTTAATTTCAGGGGTACAGGTGCAGGATGTGCAGGGAACACAGGCTACATAGGTAAATGGGCACCATGATGGTTTGCTTCACAGATCACCTCATCACCTAGGTATTAAGCCTAGCATCCATTAGCTATTCTTCCTGATGATCACCCTCCACCCACAGCACCCCCAACAGACCCCAGTGTGTGTTGTTCCCCCATCAATGTGTGCATATTCAGCTCCCACTTATAAGGGAGACCATGCAGTGGTGTTTGTTTCTCTGTTCCCATGTTAGTATTCCTTAAAGACCTAGAGACAGAAATACAATTAGACCCAGCAATCCTATTACTGGGTATATACCCAAAATAGTATAAATCATTTTATTATAAAGGTATATGCATGAGTGTGTTCACTGCAGCACTATTCACAATAGCAAAGACATGGAATCAACTCAAATGTCCATTAACAGTGGACTAGATAAAGAAAATATGGTACATATATACCATGGAATACTATGCAGCCATAAAAAGGAATGAGATCATGGCCTTTGCAGCAACATGGATGGAGCTGAAGTTGTTTTATGCAAAACATCTATCTGAACCATCTTCCATTGCAAAGATTAGGTGTGCTGAAACAATGTCTAGTCTTTAGGTTTGGAAATATATCCTTATTTTTCTAATGTTATTATTTGCTGGACTGGTAATGGGATTGAACCAGATTGTTTCTGTTACTTACTAACAGAAGTTAGTAAGTACCTTCGTAAGTACTTACTAACAGAAGTAAGGGCATAAATTTGCCCTTTACTGTTTGCTTCTGATCAACATTGGGTACCTAGGTGGCTTCCTTATTTATGTTCTATATGCCTGAGACTATGGGAAGATGACTTCTCAGGGGAGGCACAAGCCTTCACCTCTCATTTTCCTGCCTGTTGTTGCAAACATGAAATAATCTTTTAGAAAATTTGCAATAACGACAAAGTAAAATGAGAAATTATAGAAACAATTCCAAACTATTTGTCATATTGCGAGTCATGACACTGGTAGAACAATTTATGATAGATTTATGTGATATTCTACCTTTTCATGGCATATCTATAAAGGGAGCATTGAAAAAAAGCATAAATACCATTTGATGCAGTAACAAAAATTACATTTTTTGGCACTGTATCCAAATTCAAAAAGCAGTAAGCATTACAGATTATGGTGATGCAAAAGACTGGAAAAATATACATGTATGGTGTCTATTATCCCTTAATATCCCTTAATAACAGCAGACATTTGATAAGTATGCTATGCCAGGGTTTTAAAAGTGGTTTATTTCTAGGATGACTTTGGTTTTGATTTTTAGGCTTTAATTTTATTATTAAATGCACAGGGTTGAAGCTCCCATCTTATGTCACCTGGGTTATATCAATCTGAAAGTATCCGAGAGTGGGGGAGAGCTTTGCTTCCACGTTTTGAGGTAGTCAATTAACAAAAAGAGCCCAACTAAGGGTAAGAGTTCAGCCTGTATTCACCTCTTGCAATGATTCATGCAACAGATCAAAAGAGCAGCTGCCTCTACTAAAAAACACAAAAAATTAGCCAGGCGTGGTGGTGGGCGACTGTAGTCCCAGCTACTCTGGAGACTGAGGCAGGAGAATGGCGTGAACCCGGAAGGCGGAGCTTGCAGTGAGCCAAGATCGCGCCACTGCACTCCAGAGCGAGACTCCGTCTTGGGAAAAAAAAAAAAAAAAAAACAACAAAAAAAACGCATATTCCTTGGCTTTTTGGCTTCCTCAAGGTTCCATTTTTCTCCCCACAGATCAGAGAATTAGGTGTATCAGGGAAGATGAAGGAAGGAGACTATGACTCTTTGACTTGGTTGGGTGTTGTCTGAGACAACAGAGGTCACTGAGCACATGTCTCTGTTGTTTTACAACGTTTATGTTGATTCCAGGGCCATGGCAGAGCATCCTAAGAGCAGCAAGAGTTGATGTTCCCATGTGTAAGTGAATGTCAATCTTTTTCCAGCGTCATGTATCCTAATTTCCCATTGACCCAAAATCATTGCGGGGCAATTCAAATTTAACAGGTGGAAAAAGAGTGTATCTGTTGAAGGGAGAGAAAAAACACAGCAGTTTCTCATTTACCATGATGGTAAATGACCATCAAGTAGGAAGAAGTGAGTGGGCAGATCCAAAATTATTTGACCAATATAAACGGGGAAATATATCACAAAAGAAGTTAATAAACCACGTTGACGATAACCAGTAGGGAAGTTAGTTGATATAGAAATAATGCCCAAAGTACATTTCTCATAACTCCAAGTGTTGGAAAGAAGCTGAGTGTTGGGAGGGAAACTGAGTCAGGGCTTGCATAATGTCCTCTGGAATGTGTCTAGACTTGCTGGCTCCTTGCTCCTTGCTCTCCCAGGATCAATTGTATCTTGAGTTAAAGGAACCTGCTCTCCATTATCTCAAGTAGCAGAGCAAATGCTAAACAGTCACATCGTGTGCCTGCCCTTTTGGCCTCCACATTCTCACCACCTGTTTCTTTGTTGGATTACCAATAAATAGTGTGGGCTCCCAGAACTCAGTGCCTTCACAGCCTCCACAATCACAGTGGTCCCCTGGTGCCCACATTTCTCTCTCAAACTGTCTTTTTCTCAATCCTTTGACTCCTCTTGACTTTGTCACCCCACGACCTGGTGTTGGGTCTGGTCACTTCAACATTCCTGGCTGCCCAATGTGGGGCGACAAAGACCCCGGTGAAGGAATGCCAGAGCGTGTGAAAGCGGAGGACCCACCATCAAAGGACACCTGAGGACGTCTAAAAGAAGCTTGGTGAGAAAACTGAGCAATCGGAAGAACGAGGGTAACAATGGGACAAAATGAAAACAGACATTCTGGTTATTTAAAATTTTCTTAAGGTATTTATCATGAAGAGGGGGAGTGAAAGTTAGTACTCAAAATTTGTTATCACTCACTCTTTAGTGCAGTAAAGCAGTTTTGCCCATGGTTCCCGGAACAAGGGACTATGGAGTTGGATGAATGGGAGAGAATTGGCAGAGATTTTAAAAAAAGGATATGAAGATGGAGCAAAAATTCCAGTCTTGGTTTGGTCAAAGTGGGCACTAATAAAAGCAGCTCTTGAACCATTTCAAACAGATAATGAGGCAGATTCAGATGAGGAAGAGGAGGACGAGTATAAAAACTAACTTCAGATTCTTAATGTGAGGAACAGAAACTGGAGGAAATTAAAGAAAAGAAAGGGAAACTGAAAATAGTATGTTTTACTAGCCTGTCGGCTCCACCTGCTGAATTAAGTGAATGGCCACCTCCTCTCTCTCCCTTTAATGGGCGAGAAAATTAATTAGCTACAAAACTTACCACTCCTGTATTTGCAACATTAAAACCTGGAGCAATTAGTAGTATTAAGACCCAGTGGAATCTGAGGCTTGTTTATTCTGAGAGCACCTCAAGCGAGGCATATCCGGCACAGCCAGTGCCCTTACAAATGGCAACAATTGTCTCCTGCCGCGCTGGGCAGTGCTGCCCTCGACCTTTGCAGTGCAGTTCCTGTTTCCCTGCTTCCTGGGGAGCCGCCGGAAAGGGTCCCCACAGGAGTTGGGGGACCCTTGCCCTCAGGAACAGTTGGTCTATTACTTGGAAAGTCTAGTCTAAATTCGAAAGGTGTCACTGTGCATACGGGAATGATTGGTTCTGATTATACTGGAGAAATTCAATTAGGTATCAGTTCCTCAACTCTGGTCTGCTTCCCTAGGAGAAAGAATTGCTCAGTTGTTGACATAAAGCTGGGAAGCAGCACAGTGAAAAGAACAGGAGGCTTTGGTAGTACTAATCCAACAGGAAAGGCTGTATATTGGGTTAATCAAGTGTCTGACAAAAGACCTATTTGTACAGTAGACCTGCTGTTGGATGCTTAGAGATTGACACACAGGCCTGGTTGGCAGTAGTCCCTGGAAAAAATAAATCATGGGTTGCTTTGCGTAGGGCAAGTAAAGTCATCTTGAAGCTTCAGTTTCATGGTTAACATGCCTCTGCTAGAGAAAAACAGATTCAATGAGCACACAGGCATGATATGGGCTGAATGTGTTCATTGTGGTGTTTATGATGGGAATGTTCAACCTCTACTCATACTACATTGGTGCAAAACAAAATGAAGCCTTCACAACAGAGTTTTAATACACTGTTCTGGGCTATATTTGGACTTTCTGAAGTGAAATCAGTGGTCATCAACTACAACCACAAATTCATTGAAAACATTGGTATGTTCTTTATGGAGTCTATACTGTTACAATGGTCATTGTTTTGCTAAAATTGCCATGATCAATTTATTCCAGGAAATTCAGGATGACGCTCATGTGCAGTAGAAATTTGCAAGGGCCAAACTCTGGTTTTCCTGCTTTGGGGAGGGGAGAGCACTTCCTGTTCCTTCAATATGGTCCCGGGTCCGAGGTCCCTGTTTTGTCTCTTGCTGAGGCTTAAAGTGTGGATTTCTGAGCTCTACCCAGGGCATAAAAAAGGTTTCCAGGAAAGAAGCAGAGATAAGTAAGTAAGCAGAACTAAGAGAGATAGAGATAAATAGAGATAGAGGTAAATAGAGCTAAGTAGAGAGATAGAGCTAAGTAGAGATACAGATGAAGACTAGCAACATAAGGTCAGTGCCCTAAAGAGGTACTGATCAGTGCCCTAAAGAGGTACAAAAGCAAAGACTAGCAATATAAAATCAGTGCCCTAAAAAGGTACAAAAGTAGAGACTAGCAAAGACTAGCAGAGATTTGCAGGGACAGACAAGAACATTCTGAATTATGGAAATTAGCTATGGCTCAAAGGGTAAATATAAAAGGAATAGAGGGGAGGAAGGTAAGGATAAAAATGCTCTTTCTTTTCTCTCCAACAGGACCTTTTGGTCCTTTAAACAGATGCACTGTTGTCTGCGGTCTTTGCTGATGCACAAGCATTCCATTCTTTAACTCATCTTAATCCTGCAGGCCTTAGAAAAAGATGTGGTCACATACAAAGAGGTGAGAAAAAGGAAAGATAATTATATGGGGAAGAGGATTTGCTTGTGTCTCTCCAGGTGACAATCAGGGCACCTGTGTGGGTGCCCACCAAACGTCTGAAGATCTATCATGAGCCACAGCATCTAGTGGACCCACTTGTACAGTGCAAATTGAAGGTTTAAGGATTGCTTTTAAGCCTCTATTTGCTTTCTGTGTGCCTTCTGTTAGAAGGGGCCTGTTTCTCATTGGTGGCCTCCCAGCTACAACCACAAAAGTTTTTGCTTCTGTTTCAGTAGATTTACTAACGTGGGAGTGAGGGTATGCTTGTGTTTTTGCAGGAGATGAACAAACCGTGTGGATGCCCTCAAGATGTGTACAACCATGGAATGGGAGACAGAAGGGACCCATGGATCCCAACCATGGACCAGGTTCCCCCAGTACGAGCCATGAGTCAGTTGAATCTGAATGCGAAGATGGAACGAACACCAACCGGAGTCATGATGCTTAATGGACCAATGCTTTCTGACTCAGCTCCTTCTACCCTGAATACAAGAGACCCTAACAGTTAGGCAGGAATATCATTGCCCCTCTTCAGCATGAAGAAGTTACAGAAGACGGACCCTCATCCTTCTGCAACCCCGAGGATTAAGGGTCCTCTTGTAAAAAGGGAAAGGGGAGATACGTGGGAAGCATTCAAACCAGAGTGACTCCAGTTTGAATAAGGGCTAAGAAAAATGAAGCCGGATCACCAACCGGCAATTAAGGGCTGCACAGCCTGCAATCGCCTTGCTCAATTAAAAGAGGTTACCTTTTATGCTAGTAATAATGATAGTAATAATAATACCTTCTCTTTTACAAAAAAGAGAAGGGGGGCATGTTGGGAAAAAGCCGAGTGTTGGGAGGGAAACAGGCGGGGATGAAAACAACTACAGATTGTACACGCCATTCAAGAGTTATGAAGCAAGAATAGGCAAGTTACTACCTTATAAAAATCAGTAAAATATAAAATTGAATAATATTTGTAGCCACTGATTGATAAGGCAAAAAGCAAATCAAGAGTATGGCCATTACACTCACTGTTATTGAGAGGTGACAGCGTGCTGGCAGTCCTCAGAGCCCTCGCTTGCTCTCAGCACCTCCCCTGCCTGGGCTCCCACTTTGGTGGCATTTGAGGAGCCCTTCAGCCCCCCACTGCACTGTGGGAGCCCCTTTCTGGGCTGGCCAAGGCTGGAGCCCACTCCCTCAGCTTGCAGGGAGGTGTGGAGGGAGAGGCACTAGCAGGAACCGGGGCTGCATGCGGCGCTTGCGGGCCAGCTGGAGTTCTGGGTGGACGTGGGTTTGGTGGGCCCCGCACTCGGAGCAGCCAGCCAGCCCTGCTGGCCCCGGGCAATGAGGGACTTAGCACCCGGGCCAGTGGCTGCAGAGGGTGTACTGGGTCCCCCAGCAGTGCCAGCCCACCGGCGCTGCGCTCGATTTCTCACTGGGCCTTAGCTGCCTTCCCGTGGGGCAGGGCTCGGGACCTGCAGCCCGCCATGCCTGAGCCTCCCACCCACTCCATGGGCTCCTGTGCCGCCCGAGCCTCCCTGACGAGCACCACCCCCTGCTCCACGGCGCCCAGTCCCATCGACCACCCAAGGGCTGAGGAATGCGAGCGCATGGCGCAGGACTGGCAGGCAGCTCCACCTGCAGCCCCAGTGCGGGATCCACTAGGTGAAGCCAGCTGGGCTCCTGAGTCTGGTGGGGACGTGGAGAGTCTTTATATCTAGCTCAGGGATTGTAAATACACCAATCAGCACCCTGTGTTTAGCTCAAGGTTTGTGAGTGCACCAATCGACACTCTGTATCTAGCTGCTCTGGTGGGGCCTTGGGGAACCTGCGTGTGGAAACTCTGTATCTAACTAATCTGATGGGGACATGGAGAACCTTTGTATCTAGCTCAGGGATTGTAAACGCACCAATCAGCGCCCTGACAAAACAGGCCACTGGGCTCTGCCAATCAGCAGGATGTGGGTGGGGCCAGATAAGAGAATAAAAGCAGGCTGCCCGACCCAGCATTGGCAACCCGCTTGGGTCCACTTCCACACTGTGGAAGCTTTGTTCTTTCGCTCTTTGCAATAAATCTTGCTACTGCTCACTCTTTGGGTCCACGCTGCTTTTATGAGCTGTAACACTCACTGCGAAGGTCTGCAGCTTCACTCCTGAGCCCAGTTGAGACCACGAGGCCACCGGGAGGAATGAACAACTCCAGACACGCTGCCTTAAGAGCTGTAACACTCACCGTGAAGGTCTGCAGCTTCACTCCTGAGCCAGCGAGACCACGAACCCACCAGAAGGAAGAAACTCCTAACACATCTGAACATCAGAAGGGACAGACTCCAGACGCACCACCTTAAGAGCTGTAACACTCACCGCGAGGGTCCGCGGCTTCATTCTTGAAGTCAGTGAGACCAAGAACCCACCAATTCCGGACACATTATCACAACTACGTTGATCGTGGTGGTATTTATTTATTCCACACTTTCATTTGAAAAACATGGCTCACAGAAAAGTTACTGAAAGTGTGGTTCTTGCTTTGATAGGCCCAAGGTATACACAATTAGGTCAAAAGACACAGTGTAATATGAAAGACACAAAATTTTTGGAAGTAGTTTCAGTGAATATGGTGTGGCCATTAGCTATGGAAACAGAATGAAATCAAATTATTGATAAAGTCTTATTAAGTGATATGGTTTGGCTGTGAACCCACTCAAATCTCATCTTGAATTGTAGCTCCCATAAATCCCACGTGTTGTGGGAGAGACCCGGTGGGGGGGTAATTGAATTGTAGAGGTGAGTCTTTCTTATGCTGTTCTCATGATAGTGAATAAGTCTCCCAGGATCTGATGGTTTTATAAAGGGGAGTTCCCTTGCACATGTTCTCTTGCCTGGCATCATGTAAGACATGACTTTGCTCCCCATTTGCCTTCTTCCATGATAGTGAGGCCTCCCCAGCCATGTGGAACTGTGAGTAAATTAAATCTCTTTCTTTTATAAATTACCCAGTCTTGGGTATGTCTTCATTAGCAGAATGAGAACAGACGAATACATTAACAAATTCACAGTGACTTTGAACAGACAAAAATTAGAAAAACATAATTTTGAACCAAATAAAAATGAATAAACAACTAAACAACATCAAAACCATCTGTAAATGTTTAATTCTTATAATAATCCCTAGACCCCAAGCTCCTAGAAGAAGGGAGGCATGAAAAGGGAAACCCTCAGTAAATGTGCACTTCAGATGACTTAATATGGATAGAAAATGAAGAATTTTCAAGAGGGTGGAGTCAAGAGTATGGAGGAAAATGACTAGAAATCTCTACCAGGTAACAGAGTTAAACTTACACTAGAAACTGCCAAGACACAGGGCCAAAGAAACATCTTTCCACTTAGATTTCAATTTCCTTTGAATCAATAACTGTGATGCATCCTAGCCCCTTTTCATTTTTTATCAGTTAATTTTGTATTTGGAGAGAGACTATAGGGTGAATATAGATATTTGTCTTTTTTCATTCATGAATATCCAAGCCAAGAAGAGGTATAGTATGACACAATATAGAAGCTGCTCTTTATTTTCCCTGATCCAGAAACTAGGTGCATTATACAGAGATGATAGACTTTGAGCCTGATGATTTGGATGGATGGGAAGATCACTTGTGGGAAGACACTGAGTCTACTTTTTTATAGGATAAAGAGTGAACCAAATATTTTGTCCATAGAAATGTAGACAATGATAAACATTATATAGGAATATTGTCCACATATCTTCAGTTTCTTCTTTTGGGCAGGCAGTGGTATTGCATTTTCCTGCCTCCCTACCCTTGAGTTTTAGAACGACCATGTGATTTGATTTTTAAAACAAGATTGAAAGTTGTCTTAGTTGTTTGGGCTGCTACAACAAAAGGCCATACACTGGGCAGCTAATAAACAAGATAAATGTATTTCTTACAGTTCTGGAGACTGGAAAATCCAAGATTGAGGTGCCAGCAAGATGGTATCTTCTCACTGTATCCTCACATGGTGGAAGAAATGAACAAATTTTTCTGGGCCTATTTTACAAGAGCACTAATTCCACCGATAAGGACCTCGTCCTCATGATCGAATTGCCTTCCCCAAACATCAGCTCACAATATCATTATCTTGTGGTTAGAATTCCAACACATCAGTGTTTTTTTTTAGGGGAAACAACAGTTCAAATAATAGCAGAAGTGATATCTTTCATTATTCTTAGTCTTATGAGCCACCGGTTGACTTACTATTGCTGGTTCTATCCTGACAGTGATAATGAATTATGATCAAGGAAGAACTGATTGAGAGGATGGATCAATCAATCAACCAGGACACTGACTTTCTTCCATGAGCATGATAGAAAAGTATACTGTGCTGTACAATGAGATGTGGATGTGATCATTTCTACAGAATAACCTTGCCCACAATTTGTTATTTGACAGAGCTATATGTTAGAACAACATTTAGCAAATGTCAAATTCTCCAAGCTTACTTGTGTAAACTCTAAATTGAAGAAAAGAATGCCTGCCCCTGTCTCTATGAGACGATGCCTGTGAAACCTTGTTCTAATTTTAGTACTATGAAAATAATGTCATGGCTATAGAATGGTTCATTCAGGAGAGTAAAAATAGGCAAGGAATGAAGTTTTACAAATAATCATTTAAAATTTAAGGAATTCAAAATTGCAGACACATTCTTGCAATAACATTTTTCTAAATTTCATAATCTGGCTTTATAAGAGTTCTGTCACGAATTCCCCAAATCTGGGTAATTTGAAAACCTGTTACTTTATCTTTTAATTTGACAGATTACTGAAGTGGGAAAAAATACAGTGTTGTAAAATAATTACATATATGAATAGCTATTGTTTTATTTTAAGTAAAAGATATACATTCTTAATTACAAGTATAAAAACGTATTTATGAGTAGAGTATATTAATTTGGATGGAGAAGTCTTTGCAGAAATATATTCTAATAATTACCATATGATTTTAAACCAGATTTACCATCTAAGAAATACTTATGTGAATATTACGATATTCAAAGTTGTTGCCATCATTAATCACAAGATCCTGGCTAACATGTTTAATATTATTCTTTATACAACTGACACATTCCCCACCCTGAAGAAATTATTTTGAATCTGTGCAGAGAGGTATTTTTCTAGTTTGATTTATGATTGACTCAAATATATTCCTTAGGCATTACTTGTAACATTTTGAAAACAACAAAAGAGTGTATCTCCCTTTCTTGTCCTCTACATTTTAGATATGCAATTCTAATGTACAGATCTCAAATTTTCAATAATTTTCCGAATAAATTTAATATATATATGCACACACATAAATTATATGCATATGGTAAAGAAGCAGAGAAGTAGGCTTAAGTAAAATTTTTCCAGCTCCTGAGATAATTTTGAATAGTTTTACCTTACTAAAAACATAACCGGTAGACAAAAAAACAACATAATGATTTTTCGAAATTTCACTGTTCTATAGTCAGCCTTTGGCTATGTACACAGGAATCACGTGTGTGGCCTTACTGCAAAATTTCTTCACAAATCTATGCTTCAGTATAGTATTCAAAACGATTACTTCGCTTCAGACTTATAATTTGAGTGACTAAGAAAATATTCTAAGAGAAAATACTGTATGTGAAAGAATGTCAATTATATATATATATATATATATGTTATGTGTGTCAAGACTTATCCAATAAAGTACTTAAAATTGAAATTCTTCAGGGAGAGCAGATGAAGTAATTTTGGTTTTCTTTAGGAAAACCTTTAGGATTACTTCTGTCTCAAGAGAATTAGACAGATACTACACTGCCTTTATGCCTTAATCCTGACAAAATTAAGAAAATTTAATCAAATATGTTCAACCCAAACTTAATATTCAGAATGTGTTGAAATTGTAAAAAGAAAATTGCTTGTGTGTTGTCCAGAGTGAGTCTTTAATACTCAAGATATTTGAGTTCCTAAAGGTGACAATTTCGGATTCATTTTAATCCCCTGGAGATAGGATAATTTCTTTCCTTTGAAAATGGAATCATTGGCAGCTTTTTCTCAGAAGCAAGCTTCTATGAGCAGGCACGGAATCAGCTGTCTTTGGACTCCCAGTTGAAGCAGAGTGTGATCAAGCTATTTTGCATCTGTGAATATATTCTGGCCCTTTTTCACAGCCACAGTTCTTTGTTTGTCAAATAATCATTTTCTATAATAAGGGAGCAGGGTATAAACATGCTTTTCAATAATTTCTGTTTCTTTGGATATCTGCTTTTTTTTTCCAGAGAGGAACATGAAATTCTGATGAGATGTGTAACTGCACAGTGTGTTTCCACTTAGATACATAATGAAAGGAAAGTGAAGCCTCACAGTGATATATTAGAAAGTCTTGATTTGATCATTTTTCTGGCACATTTTCTTTGCTTTGACATTTCACTCAGGGATATTTTATTCTGTGAAAAAGACACTACTTTTTAATCTTACCTACACAAGTTGTAGTTGCATTAACTGTTAATGGATGCTATTTATATGTCTAACTCGATCTTTAACTTTGCATCGCTGTTTTCAGTAGAATATGTTATTTTATGTAAGTTCTAGCTAATATGCCGTTGATAAACTTCCCATAAGAAACAAAATCTAATATCATCCCATAACCTTCTCTGGCCTACATAATTGACAGTGCTGTTTTATCTCCAGCATCATCCTATCGTTCTCACCTTTGTTTGACTCTTGACCTCTGTCACTCTGGTCTTTGCAGTTGCTTT
This sequence comes from Homo sapiens, assembly GCF_000001405.40. NCBI lineage: Eukaryota > Metazoa > Chordata > Mammalia > Primates > Hominidae > Homo > Homo sapiens. The sequence goes on from NC_000005.10 coordinate 23,696,679, forward strand.
TTGCCCTGCCTAAATTGTCCTCATCTCTGAAATACATGTAACTTGCTTATATCATTTGGGTTTAAACGAAAGGTTTGGGCTTAACCTTAAAAAAATGCCCATCCTCCTGCAATTGAAGCAGGTATTCACTATATTTATTCCCTAGTTGGTTTTATTTTTCTTCTTAGTACATCATGAGAAGAATTGTGTCTCCTCGAAATTCGTATGTTGAATTCCCAAACCCAAGCACCTCCGAATGTGACTGTGTTTGATGATAGGGTCTTGAAAGAGGTAACATAATGTCATTAGAGTGGTCTCTATTCCAGTATGACCGATGCTCCTATAAGAAGAGGAGCTTAGGTTAGACACATACAGAGAGACAACCTTATGAAAACAGGGAAGATGGCCCCTACTGCCAAGTCTGTCCTCAGATTCTGGCTGAGAAACGGATGAAAGAAGTACGCTGCCACAGGTATTTTGCCTGACAGCATGGCTAGGGGACTTCATGGCTCAGCACTGCTGATGAGAGTGCCGCTGCCCCGCTAAGCCAGCCCCACTCACATTTATTTAGTACAGATCTAATGACAAAGGCTTGGAGCAAACACAATTTGTGGGTAATAAACATTGCCAACCCCCTAAGTAGAGAGCAGTCCTGTACGCGAATAATCAAAGGTTGGTTTCTGGAGATAGGAGTAAACAAATTTATCTAGATAAGTTCCTTTACATTCCCTTGTTATCTGCCCTTTGCTCTCAACCTCTGGATAAGACAATTTGGCTGCCTTCAGCGATAATTCTTTTCCAAAGCTTTTGCAAAACCTCCCAGCCTTCAAAGTAGGTTTGCATCTTTCCCTATACTTTTCTTATAATTTTCCCACCACGCTGACCGATCCCCTACAAACTTCAAGACAAGAAAAGAGACCTTAGAAGTTGTTTAAGCCTGTTGAAACCTTGATCTTGGACTTCTAGCCTCCAAGGATGTGAGAAAATAAATTTCTGCTATTTAAGCTTCTCAGTGTGTACTATTTTATTATGACAGCCCTAGCAAACTAATACTGTACTTAATCATTATGTGACAATTTAGCTATACAGTTAGTTGTTTTTCCCATTTTCCTGCCACTAGAATTTCCTAAAAATGGTATTTTGGTTACACCTGTGTACTCAGCATCTAGATAATATCTGGAAAAAACTTGATGTTCAATGAACATTTGTTGAATGACTACATGAATTAATGATATTTAATGAGCTGAACACAGGCTACAATGACTCCACTTGCTTGCTGTCTGTACAGTACCTCTAGCTGATACTGTATGTGGCTTTTAATCATTCATTATGAAGAATAATTTTGTTGGGTTTCTTTCCGAGACTTGTTAAGGAACAAGAAATATTATAACAACTCACAGAGACACCAGAAAATATTAGTGAGTACTGAAATAAAATTGGATTCACATAAATCTTACCTAGTTGGAGAAAGTCATTGACTCTATATTATATACATCATCTTCAAATAAACTAAAGAGTGTGTTTGTGTTTCTGTGTGTTTGTGTGTGTGTGTAAAGAAAGAAGAAAGTATAGCAAGTACATGCTTAAATACAATTATTGCATTCAGGTCATAGAATCTTTGATAGGATCTTGCCCTGTGGACATGAAGAGCCATGTAGAATCCTACTTTGTTAACTACAGCAATAATGGGGCCATATATTCTCTTTTTTTTAGATTTTCAGATTTAATATTATTTAGTATGTTATATAATAGACTTTGGAGAAATGTATCTGAAATCTTATTTTTAAAAGACATCAAGATATATTCTTCGTTTTTTTTTTTTGTTTTTTTTGTTTTTTTTTTGAGTCGGAGTTTCACTCTGTTGCCCAAGCTGGAGTGCACTGTCAGGAAATCGGCTCACTGCAACCTCCACTCTCCGGGTTCAAGCAATTCTCCTGGCTCAGCCTCCCAAGTAGCTGGGATTACAGGCGCTTGCCACTGCGTCCTGCTAATTTTTGTATTTTTAGTAGAGACGGCGTTTCACCATCTTGGCCAGGCTGGTCTGGAACTCGTGAACTCGATCCACTCACCTCAGCCTCCCAAAGTGCTGGGATTACATGCTTAAGCCACCGCGCCCAGCTGGAGATCAAGATATATTCCATTTGAGGGAAGAGATAACTGTTTTAAACATACCAAGTTAAACTACATAATTGTTATCAATACCAAAGATAATCACTTTTTAATTCTGCGTGGATTTCGTAGACAGAATATTTAGAATGTCTAATTGTATATGACAAGAGACAAAGCTATTATTTAGATAGATTCTATTTCAATAAGATATGCCGATATGTTTCATTTTTAACTTTTCGTAAAACTTAATTATATAAAGGAAGATAAACATCCCTTACCAACAGTAATTTTTCTTTCGGCTAGATTCTCAATTAAACTGGAAATATAAAATTCCTGGGTAGCAGGCAATTTTTTTCTTAATTATTATATTTTCAGAGCCTTTAATAACAGACAGCACTGGGGATAAAACACTGCATAGTGCCTAAGAGAATTTTTCCATAAAGTTCTAAAATTTCATAAAGGAATATACTTGAAATTGTGACATTGCATGCACAAACACAATTTTCTATTGGAATGAGGAAGCACATTATAATGGAAAGAGCAGGAGATTTCAACAAAATTCACCTCACCCACTATTGCTTGAACCCCACTCTGAGCTTCAAGTCTAGTATTAGAGAGATGGCAGTGAACAAGGCGGATGCCCTCCTGGATTATAGTCAAAAGATACAGCTTCTTTCCTGTCACTTATTAGATGGTTTAATTTTCTAAAGAAAACATTCTCCTTTGGTCTCAATTTTCTCTGTGATGTAATAATGTTTATACATTTTTTATGGTGATTGCAATTTAGAATAAAATGTGATAATGAATTTCAAACTGCAAACACTGTGCAAATAACAAGGGTGCACATGTTGAAAATTTTTAGAAGATACACCGACCCTGAAATGTGGTTTAGAGACTGTTTTTTTAACCAAAAATTTAAAAGTTATATTCAATTTTGGTCTCATGTATAAAGTTACCTCAGATATATAAATATTAATTCAAAACATTACTTACAATTTGACAGTGCATACACCACGAGTACTTTTTTATTGTTTTCCAAGAAAAGTGAGAAAGATAACAGAAATATAACATAAATAAGATAATATAACATGGTAAAAAATTATTAACGTGGCAATTATAGGTATACTTTTAGAAATGTTGAAAGGAAAGGAAATTTTTATTTAAAAAGAAAAAGAGACTTCAGTCTAATTCTTTATCTACAAACCGACTTTCATCTCCTTATAACATATGGACATGAATTTACTTTGCTGGCAAACTCATAATTGAGTATCTGGCTTGCAGTAGATTATATATCACTAATCAAAGCAGATTACTGTTTTTGTGACCTTGAAGAGTTTATTCCACTCTCTGTAGCTATTTCCCTGAACTGGAAAATTAAATCTAAGTAGAACCTTGGTGCCAAACAGATGCTACCTTTGGCTTAAATTGTCTTGGGTAAATTATAAAATAATAATTAATAACTATGAGTCAGTGCCCAGAAATTATTCAGGCATATCCATTACCTCTGTACATAAACAAAATCAATTTTCATTAAATATGCTAATTCCACACAGCATTACTATCGAAGCTTTGCCAATGCCTGAGTAGACATTATGCCTTATTTTCCAAATCAAGCAAAACCATTTTTCATTATTTGTTTTGATTATCTTCAGTATGGCCTATCCTAATTGTGTTCGGAACAGGTGCATTTATGTTGCTAAAGAGACCAAAATAACAGTCTGAACATGAAGCTTTTATATGCCATGCGGTGCAATTATTTCATCGGGATACACAGTGGGAAGAAGTAGTCTAGTGATAGTACCCTTACTGTAATTAAAGGCCAAATGGGGAATAAAAAGAAAGCAGGGGAATTATTAATCATAATTTTCAACAGCATCTTCCAGCTGAATCAAATGATGTTAATACTTGTAGTAGATATTTCAGATTTTCAGAATAAAACCCTGGATTTCTTAGAATATTTATTCCTACTTCACAATACTATTTTATTTCTGGTAAAACATATTTTACAAGGGATGCTTTAATTTCAGTCTTTAGGTAATTCCATTAATATGTGCTGCATAATTAATTGAATTTGCTTGTTTTTAGAATTATGATGGTTACATAACCAGGCAGGTAAATTGAAAGAGATTAATTAGATTCAGGAACTTTTTAAGAAACATAGATATGAATAATGGAAGTAATTGGTCTAGTATGTGAACACTATAAATGTTAGTATGCTAAGTGATTTACATCTCATACAATCCCTATATCAAATATGTTAACTGACACAATTGTTACTCACATATTAAACATGAGAAACTAAAAGTTCATCTAAGCAAAGTAATTTCTCCAAAGTTAAAGACTTTGTAAGTTGATGGAAAGGAAATTCAAAATCATTTTCAAACAGCAAAGCTTGAGCTCTATATTCTGTACATATATATTCTTCAGAGTGGAGTAATATTGCATATCTTTAAATATTGCATGTTATTTGGAAAATAAGAATTCCTAAACAGAGGTTAATATTTTTGTCAATGTTGTTTACAATCTCTTAAGTGCCTTATCAGTTATAAATTATTTTTCACTGGAAAGGCTCAAAGTCCAAATATATGTTTAAAACTGTATTAAAATTTTAGTTAGGATAATAATGAAAAAGAGTGGACATTTGAAACCCTCATCTTGCCACCTGTTTCAAGCCCTTCTACTCTATACAAATAATATGCCATACAAGTTAAGTAACTTAATTAAATAATTTGCATTTTATATGCTTTATTTCATTTTGTGATTCAAAATTGAAATTGATAGTAACTTGTATGTTTGACATAACATGTTTACTTAATGAATGAGATGAATCAGTTTGCTACAGAAGCACATACCTAGTTCAGGAAAAAATTTAGAAAATTCATTTAAAAAGAAAAATAAGTTAGATATAGCCTTTATTTATTTTTGTGGAGTACTTAAGCGGGCCAAGGGCAATTAGATTCTAAAAAGTGTTCAAAATAACATATATTAAAGTTAACTTCTCTAAAAAATGTACATACTATTAAAACATTTTTTTCAATTTGTTATACATTTAAGTTTCTTGATGTTTTTCCCTTTGCTCCCCTAAATATCTAGGTAATGAAACTGTGATTTTGGTTTTCTTTTTTTTTTTTTTTTTTTTTCAGGCTGGAGTGCAATGGCATGATCTTGGCTCACTGCAGCCTCCGCCTCCTAGGTTCAAGCAATTCTCCTGCCTCAGCCTCCACAGTAGCTGGGATTAGAGGTGCAAGCCACCACGTCCAGCTAATTTTTGTATTTTTAGTAGAAATGGCTTCACCATGTTGGTCAGGCTGGTCTCGAACTCCTGACCTTGTGATCCACCCACCTTGGCCTCCCAAAACGGTGGGATTACAGGGTCCACCACACCCATTAGGTTTTGTTAAAATACACAAAGGCTATCAAAGAAAGTGCAAAATCTCATCTTAGAGTTCATGTTTAATTTTACACTTGAATTCATAATATATTAATATTTCAAACATATAATAAAGATTATAATATACATCAGAATATTACAGCTTCAGTAAAGATATACTCTCATCTCTCCTAATGTAGGTGCAATTCTGATAACCACGTATCAGGAAATATCTTGAGGTTTTCATGTATGATAATTTTAAAAAGTCTTCAATATCTTTATAAATGTGAGAGAATTTATTATCTCCATTTCATAGATGAGGTCACTGAAGCTGTAAATAATTGCATAACTTTTCCCAGGCCATACATAGAGCTTGTGGTAGAGTCAATGTGTTCAAAACTAGTTTGACAAGCTCCACATCTCATGCTTGAAATTATTAGGCTTTGTTAATTTTTATGGTTAACCTACCTGCTGAAGCATATTTTGGTTACATCAATAATGGTACACTTACGAATTTATTATATCACTGAGTTTATAGTCCTCTAAACATACTATTTTCAGGCAGAAGTAAAATCATTTTATCGCATTATAAATAGCCCATTTGTAACTTCAAATGAATAGTACATTATAAAAAATGACTTTTATCTGTTAATTCTAGCGGTTTTTAAATAATTCATTGAAAAAGAAAGAATGAAGATATGCTATATTCCACTATTCTATTAAGATTCCTTTCTATTATTATTAAATGAATATGTCCTCAGTAAAAAATAATAATATATACAATGGCAATTACATATTTACTTAATAAACATTGTTATTTTAACACTATTGTTATTTTAACTCAACATGTGCCAAATTGTAATCTAGAAACTGTAGATTCACTGGATAATAAAGTAACAAGGGGTTTCCATTTGGAAGCCTTCTAGTAGCTTCCATTTGAGTCTGTAAAATATATGAATAATGTTAGATAATAATAAAGGATCTGAGCAAAATCAAATAGGGTAAACGGTGGACAGAGGTTGAAAGAATTGTTGCTAATATAGGCACGGTAGTAATGGAAGGTTTTACAGGGAAGTTGACATTTGCATCAACACCTAAAATGATGAGAGAAAGACATTCAAGGGAGAGGAACATTTCAATCAAAACAGCATAATAAATATTTTTGTGGTTTTATAATTGCAATATTAATTTCAGGAAATCTCATGATGATGTAAACAAAATATTCTTTCTAATTGTTCATCTCTTTTAATCAAATCACAATTTAAACAAACTTCATCTTAGATTAATTAGACTGTGATGTCTGAATCTTATTCAGATTTAGTCTATAAGGAGGGAGAAATTCATTTTTTAAAGGTAACTTAGGAAGGTAGAGGATTACAAATCTTAGATTTTCATAGTCTAAATAAATAAAAATTTGTTTTCCTTCAAAGATTTTTTTCGTTCAAATCATTCTATGATGTACTTTCTTAATATGGTTACTTTGCTTTTACATTTTTAGCTAAAAAATTTTTCTTTTAAATATATTTTAACTGTAGTCATGTACAATCAGTAGGATTTAGCCCATAATTCAGATAATATTGCAAATATGCAACCTTGATAAATACATTTCTGTCATTTAAAATAATTATGACAAATTTTATTAAAATGTAAATATCTATGAATTCACATTTTTAAAACTACACATACACTTTACATTTAATAATTACATCTTCTAGTCAGCAGATTAAGGAGAATTTATTCCAAACCATGAGATAATGGTGAAAAAGAGAGGATTTGAAAGGTGGGAAATCAAAAGGAAAATGAAATGGTCGATAATGTAAGAATAGATAATTTAGCAATGGAATCACTTAGCAAACGTAAATTAACCAGGCTTTAATGAGAGTCTGTAAGATGAGTCACAGCAAGAATACACAAAGAAAGCTGAGAAAATGTACTTGAAAAAGTTGAAATTTGATTTATAATCATTTAAGGAGGGAACTAGCTATCACTTAATAAAGGGCCCGTAGAAGCGTATTAGAGAACTAGCAGGGAATAAATGGGACTATATGGATCATTAAAAATCACTTTCTCTTAACCACTTGTTTTTATGTCTAAATAATTTTCTGTTCCTTCATTAATTCAAAAATTATTAATTAAACAAATGCTCCACTCAAGCTTTGTTGCTAAGCACTGGACAAAGTAAAGCAGACCTGATTGTATAGTTTATGAAGTTTATTGTCTGACTGGGAATAGAGCCAAGAAACAAATATGATGTGTACTTACGAAATGACTAATACTATAAAATGAGGTATGAGGCTAAGGGATCATATAATGATACCCATAATAATTTAGAAGTCAAAGATATATACTTTAAAAATTGCTTATTATGAAGAAATCTTAAATTAGTATATGAATTATCAATCAAAGGAAATATATTCCTTGTAGTTAAAAGTGCATGTTCAACATGTAGGGTGTTAGGAGAAAAATGTGCATTCTTAAGTTTCATATAGCTGTAGAAGAGTGCATTATTAAGTGAGACAAGGTTAAGGCAAAGAGCTGAGAGGGACTAGATTATTGAGGGCTGTGTAAGTGTCTTAGTTATAACACTTATTTCAGTTGCAGGAAGCAAGCAATTGACATTATCTACATTTGGCCCTTAATTATTCTCTCTGCTGTGTGGAAATTATATTGTATACACATTTGCAATTGATTGTGGAAAGACAACATATGGAATATTTCACTCTGCTTAGCTGAGGTAAGCTGAAGATTAGGAATGATGGGTGAAGTAAATTTCATCATCAAAGATAACTGAAAGTGAATTTTTTTTTGTATTTAATGTTGGCAGTGAAGAATAGAAAAATGTTCTTGTTAAACTATTCACTGTGGTCCAGAGAGCTGTGGCACATTACGTTCAAATAAAAAAACCTGAAAATAATTGACCATTAAAGTAAGGTCACTTACATAAGTTTGAAATAGAGAAAAGTTGACATACTCAAGAGATATATTTCAGGCAGAAATTGCAGATAACATTTTCCAAGATCCTCCAAAATTTTGAATTTTCTAACTTGAAAATCATGGTGAATGATCTTAGCATTTTTTTCATTGTGTTCATTATGGACATTTAGGCATATAGAAGAGTATTTGACACATAGTAAGTTAAGTGAATAGAATGGATGAATAGATAAATATGATAGTTTTTGAGATTGTGAATGGGGCATAGAAACACACATACATGCACTTTTTTGTCAGACCCTGTTAAATATTATGATTATAAAGATGATGTATAAATAAATGTAACTCAATGAAAAGACAGCATGCTAACAAATGGTTTATAACCAATATTTGATTTGTCAAACCCCAAATTTTGGAAAGACAATAAAAATTTTAGGTACATTTCTGCTACCCGATGGACAATTTCAATATGAGGGATTTTATTCACTTGACATTTTAAAGGTTTTCCGGTTGTGTGGAAGCTTCCCGATGCAGGAAGGCTGAGGCTATAGTAGTATCTAAGAGATTGTAAGGAAACGTGTTTCTTCATGGGAAAAAAAAATCTACCACAATAGAGGAACTTGTTTCATTAGGTAAGTTGCAAAGCAGTTAAATAAGATATTATAGATAGAATAGTAATAGGCAAACTAACTGAATTGACTGTATTGCCTTGGTGAAAAGTATAGCAGATTGATGACAATCAGACCCACTTCCAAGGGAAAACATAAGTCAGCTGCTTATGAATTAGTCACTGGAAGGACTATGTACTAATAGTAGAACCTCATGTATCTTCTGCTCCTAAACTCTGATATGACTAAATGCTACAAGACTTTAATGTATTAAACCAAAATATATTTTTACCAGCTAAAGAAGAGTTTTATGATCCACTGACTGAGGACAATCAAACCCTTCATGATCTAGAATCCAGATATTTGGTTCTCTGGAAATGACATCAGAGAATAACTGCTCTTGCCATGCACATTGCAGCAAAACTTTGGGACCTCAAAACTTGGGTCCATAATCTCACAACTAAGAAAATCTTCTCCAGACTCTTGAAACTGTATACCCGTTGGAAACCTTAAAGTAAAGCTAACCAGGGAAGTTTCTTCCCAGAAGCAGACAGCATCCTAGATATGCACAACTTTCTCTAGATTATAATAAAAATTTCTCTGTCTTCATAGAGCCATCTCCTATTTTAATTTTTTCCTCCTTACACCTCTTTGAAAAACACAATTCTCCAAAAGTTCTCCAGTTCCAGACTACCCATGGGGTAAACTTTCATTGATGGAGAATTTTAGAGCCAACCTCACACATGGGTAGTCTTATACCTCAATTAGGAAAGATGAAGGAACAATGTGGGCTGATAACTTTAATGGTACTTTTGTTGCTCCACAATCAGTAAGAAAGAGAACATTGGTCAACTCTTTTTAACCTATGGGATAGGTTAAAGGATACATTGCTGGAAGGTCTTCATCCTTCTAAATAAACATTATTTGCTAGGTCCCTTTTTCTATGGCTTGAGGTAAATATAAATAAGGTAATGATTAGACACTTATTTCTCCTGATGGCTCTATAGTAGATTCTATGGCAAAGATTATGGTTGCACAATAGATTTCTTTTACCTATCTTGCAAAAGTTGTACTAGATAATAGAATTGCTCTGGATTAACTTCTAGCTGAATAGAGAGAAATCTGTGTAATTGTTCCCACTTTTTATTGCATATGGTTGAATATATTGGTTATTATAAAGATTCAGTTGCAGGGAATTAATCTACAGGCTGCTTGGTTAAACAAGGGCAACTCCTCATTTGGCTCATGATTTGGTCTACTCTATTTTGGTTGGTTTGTCAGTGGACCCTGGCTAAAAGCCTACTTCATACTTTTTATATTAACCACTGATTGCCATCCTGGTTGTCTCCTTGGTGCACCATATTCTCTCAAAAGTTTTAAATGTTTGCCTGCAGCTATCCTTAGAATGTCAAATGGTTTCTCTTCCACTGGAATGACAAAAACTCAAATAAATGTATAATCATGAGGACACTGTAACCTATGATGGATATGTTGAGACTGAAACTCAAAACGATGGCAAATGAGAGTAGTGCTAAAACCCTAAGTATTAGGTGAGAAACTGACCAAAAAGCAGAATTGTTAAACTCAATTATGGGAGGTCATGGTTTGGACTGAGCTCCTGCACCAGACCCCAACAGACTGGACCAAACTGACATGGAGCCAGTAATGCTAAATGCTACATAATCAAACTGAAACTTTAAGGAAGCATATAGATCGCCAGAAAGATGGAAGCTAAGACTAAATAAGACTTGTTAATTTCATCATGAGACAAACTAAGTCAATTTACAATAGTGACAGAGAGACATCACTAGATCAATGCCTAATGTTTGGATCAATCTCCTAAGCCTCCATAATCACATGAGCCAAGTTACTAAGATAAATCTCTTTCTGTATACACATCCTAATTGTTCTATTTCTTTGCAGTACCTAAATCCAACAATTTTGGCCTCAGATTCCTGAAGCCCTTATCACTTTGAAATAAAGTCACATTTGCTTTATCACACAAACAGAATTTCGTTTATATCTGCCAAACTTGACCTGTCTTCTGATTACTTAAGACATAAGTTGTTGCCTTTCTGCTACTAGAGATGTTCATTGTTGGAGGCTCCACTAACTTTATAAACAAATCAGAACACAACAATTGCAAAAAAAGAAGAAACAAAGAACTCACTCAGTATACAGTTCTATTTGACAAGTATTTATTAAATTGACCCTGCCTGCTTTGTGGTCGTGTCCACTTATTGTTACTTACTCATATATATTTAGTAACCAGCTAATACTATGGGTTTGGTTTATACTAAAACTTTGTGCGTGTCTCTTTCTCTGTCTTCTTCTTCTTTTGTCTCAATATCTATTCAAATTTTAGCTGTTTTTCTGGACCTGAATTTTCTAACTGCTCATGTTTTCACTGCCAATATTTTCCACAGAAGTTTAAGTAGCACCCTTGGTAAGAAAGTTCCAATCACAAATGTGTCACTAATTTCCAGAGCAATTTCTTAAAAGCAAATACTCCTCCATCTCTTATTTTTTTGATATTTCAATGTCTTTTAATTGTTGTTTTATATTTTGTACAAATTTTATAATTCTTATAACTAGAAGTGTTTATATAGCTGCCTCAGTCTACCCCCATGACTGGCAAATCTTCCAAATGTGCTTTTTCACTATGTTTGTTCAGCCTTTTTATTGATTTTCATCATTCTTTGGATACTCCTAGTATAGTTAAGTTAGATTGTTTTTTTGCCACTCTTTTTTATCTATTTCTTCAGATTATTTTATTTTTGTTTTCATTGGTCTTTATTAAAAATAATTTCCTTTTTATACTCTTCTTTACCTTGTGGCATTATGAATTGTATTAATTTGCATTTTTGTGACTTTCATTCTTTTTCTTTATTTCTGAAATAGTTTTTTTCATTTATAATGTATTACTAAAGTCTGTTGCTATTTTTTGTCCAATAATATTGTGATTGTGTTTTCCCAATTCTGAATTACAGCTTTGTTCTCATTTCTAATGTCATTTTCTAAATCTTGTATATATTTACAAAGTTGTCTTTTTCCTCCCTTGAATAAGTCTCTGAAATGCTTATGTTATTTGTAGTTTTAACTCAGTTTATTATTACTTTTATATTTGATAACTTTAATTTGAGTGAAATTGTTATTTTACTCATGTTATAATGTGGTAGATTTTACCATGTTTTTAGTAGGGGAGACTTGGTGTGTCTGAAGGCCTAGTTTTATATAACTGGGCTGAGTCTTCTCAATGATTTTAACTATTAACAAATATGGCCTATTTTCTGAGATTTTCTCTTCTTTCATCCCTTACTTTTTTTCTGAAATTACCCTTTGTTTTTCTCTTTCATAGTTATCTCGGCCTTTCCAATCTAAATCCTATATCCTGAAGTTTCCTTCCATTGCAGCTGAGGATGTATTCTGCTAGGAAGCAAGTTAGTTTCAAAATGTCTTAGGACCAAGTCCAGCTTATCATGATCCCCTAGTATTTACCCACAAGTAGAAGTTTGTGAAGCTCCTTTTTAATTATATCTGCAAAAATTACCAAAACAAGTGAGGACAACTCCTTTGGCATGACTAAGTTGGGTAATTTTTCATATTTTCAGACTCTGAGTATATTGGTTGTCATTTCGCTTCTGTATGCTTCTCCTACAGAGTTAATGATGCCACGGGTTAACTTTCTATGAGAGGTTTGGCACAACTTGCTTATATTATGAATTTCATAGGCATAAGTTGAATGCTTCAGCACTACCACTGAGAGAGAGGATGTGTCTTTTAATCTTAAGGTCTTAAAATTTCAAAAAGATGGGGTCACATGGAAAATAAGCTACCTCCCTCCTCATGCTCCCTGAATCACATGGTTGGAATGAGAAAAGACCTTATATTGGCCATAGTACACAACAAGTAGAAACAGGTGGTCCTATAGAAATATGGAATGGTCCAACAAACCCTCAGTTATAGTGCCATTGCAAAGGAACATCTTTGGGGTTTGAGGTATTATAAAATGCATAATTTGCCCTGAATAAGCAATTCCTCCAGAGCCAGATCTGAGATTACATGCTATAAGTGAAGCTGGTACTTCTCACCATTACTGGTATTTACTCACTGAAATCTGTTTCCAGAATTCTAATTTTGAGATATGCTGGTTTAGAGGTTTTATTAAGCAAGATCCAACAGAGAATACAAGAGTTCAATGATGTTACAAATTTAAAATGGTTATTTATTTATTTATTTTTTCTGAGACAGAATCTTGCTCTGTTGTCCAGGCTGGAGTGCAGTGGCCAGATCTTGGCTCACTGCAGCTTCTGCCTCCCAGGTTCAAGCAATTCTCCTGCCTCAGCTTCCCAAGTAGCTGGGATTACAGGTGCAAACCACCACGCCTGGCTAAATTTTGTATTTTTAGTAGAGATGGGGCTTCACCATGTTGGCCAAGCTGGTCTCAAACTCCTGACCTCAGGTGATCCACCTGCCTCGGCCTCCCAAAGTGCTGGAATTGCAGGTGTGAGCCACCACGCCCGGCCTAAAATTGATATTTCTACATGCTTATTTTGAGGTATTTAAGAAAGAGACAAAAACAAGATAAACAGTGACTTGTGAGGGGACAGAGCCAAGATGGCTGAATAAAAGCAGCTAGTATGTGCTTCTCTAATAGAGAGGAGACAGAGTGGTGAGTAAACAGTAGCCCTTTAAGTGGATCATAAAGGAGGCCACACTGGGATTCAGCAAGGAAACAACAGCAAACCACAGATGGCAGAGAGGAGTGAGGCAGAGTAGCTGCCTCCCCAGGATTGGCATGGAGCCAGGGGATGGTGGAGAAAGGATGAGTGAGTGAGAGCCCCTGGCAACCCAAACTTCTGCCATGGACCCATTAGCAGTGGCAAACCCATATGGGTCTGCAGAAACCTCACCTCTTGGCTCCTCAAAAGAAATAATTTGACTGAGGGTCATAGGCAGAAGGAGAGATGGAGGCAAGTTTTAGAGCAGGAGTGAAATCTTATTAAAATGATTTAGAGCAGGGATGAAAGGAAGTGAAGTACACTTGGAAGAGGGCCAAGTGGGCAACTTGAAAGATCAAGTGCACAGTTTGACCTTTTGACTTGAGGTTTTATATGATGGCATGCCTCTGGGGTTTTGCCTCCCTCTTCCCCTGATTCTTTCCTTGGGGTGGGCTGTCCCCATGTGCAGTGGACTGCTAGCACTTGGGAGGTGAGCATGTTCAGTGTGTTTACAGGAGTCATACGCATGCCCACTTGAGGTATTCTTCCCTTACCAGCCAAATGCCCCTGGAAGGTCATATACGAGTTAAACGCCTCCATTTTGCCTCTTAACGCGCATGCCTGAGCCCACTCGCTGAACTCCTGAGATGTTGGGAAGCTGCTGATCCGCTGCTGTTCATCAGTTTTAGGTGATTCTATCTATTGCGAGACTGCTTTCCCTGGCACTGGCTGTGATCAATTATTTTAGAGAGACAGTGTAACAACCGCCTGACCATCACCTGATAGTCTCCTGACATTCCTGGTGGGGTTGGGGGAGCCCTCTCCCGTCCTGCTCACCCCTGACTAGATACCTACTGTAACAGACCTTTGCAATCTTGGGCACAGAAGATCTTCCCACCACAGTCAATATGGGACCTCCATGCTGACACAGAGAGCTACCTGCAATTTGGGCAGAACTGCTGCCCAGGCCCACGTGGAGCTCCACAGGACTTGGAAACTTGAACTGCTGTAGCCAGCTGCTGTAGCCCCACCAAGGGAGGCAAGGCTGTCTCATGTGCCCCAGGGTATGAGCCACATCCACAGTGCTGAGGGGCATATGAACTGCGGGCTCCACCTCGCCAGGCAAAGCTCAGTCACCTGGGACCCCAGCACAGCCACTCCACCTCTGCCTGAGCACTTTGACTGGTAATACCTCTCCATTTCTCTAGAATAGAGCTCCCAGAGGTCAACTACAGGCCCACCGCAATTGCCATTGCCACAATTTACAACCCTGCTGCCCTCAGGCTGGGTGGGAGCAAAGAGTCTAAGAACTGTTTCAGGCCTTCAGCGCTTTGCAGTCACTGTATGGAAAAGCATGTGGACTGTTTTGCTTGTGGGACTCTACACTGTTATTCCTCACTAAGCAGGGCCTCTGGCTGCAGCAACCCTATGGAGAAGAGGCCAGTCTGTCTTCCCTGCAAGTTCCCCACCCCCTGGTCTTCCCCAGACAGGGCCCCCAGCTTTCTCTGGCCAGCAACACAGCCACCCCACCAACAATTGATTATTCTGATTGGCAGCAGCTCTGTGGTTCTCTAGAGTTGAGCTCCTGAATACAAATGACTGACAGGCCATCTCCCATTGCCCTGACTGAGGTTCCCATCCCTGCTCCCTCAAAGCTGGGGAGGGAACAAAGAGCCTGAAACTTGTCCCAGGATTGCGGTGCACAGCTTGAGAGTGGCAAGTCAGAAATCTATGGCCAGCACTCAAGTGGAAGAGAATTGGTCCTCTCAGAGTACACAGAGGAGTGATTTGTGGTGGTTTGGGGGCTGCTGCAGGAGCAGGGTGTGCCTCTGCAGGATTGGCCCGGAAAAGGTGTGGCCTGTTTCTCTGCCATGGCCCCTGCAGCCTGGAACGCTAACAGGGGCGCAGTTGTGGACTTAGTGATGGAGTCACCTTTCTTCCCCCCACCCGCCCAGCCCTGCAGAGCCACCTACCTGTAAAACTAAGGGCAGGAATTCAGCCACAAATAAAGACCCTGCACATAGACTTGGTCCTCTAAAAACATCCAGAAACAAAGCTAACTATACTCAGCTTAATCCACAGTTAAAGACACACAAATCCTCCTAGATGAGAAAGAACCAGCACAACATCTGTTTAAATTCAAAAAGCTAGAGTATCTCTTTACCTCCAAACTGGCCTAGTAGCTCGCCAGATACGGATCTTAACCAGTCACAAATGATTGAAAAACAGACATAGATTTCGAATTAAGATGGCAAGGAAGCTCATTGAGATTCAGGAGGAAGTTAAAACCCAATCCAAGGAATCCAAGGAATCGAGTAAATTAATTCAAGAGCTGAAAGACAAAATAGTCATTTTAGGAAACAACCACACTGACCTTCCAGAAGTAAAACATTCACTAAAAAAATTTCATAACACAGTTGGAAGTATTAACAGCAGAATAGACCAAGCTGAGGAAAAAAAAAAAAACTCTGAGCTCGAAGATTGGTTCTTTGAATTAATTCAGTCAAGCCAAAATAAAGAAAAAATAATTTTTAAAAATGAGCAAAACTTCTGAGAAATATGTGATTATGTAAAGAAATCTATGTTACTGGCATTCCAGAGCAAGAAACAGATAAAATAAACAACTTGGAAAATATATTTGAGAATATAACCCAACAAAATTTCCTTAATCACACTAGAGAGTTTGACATTTAATACCAGAAATATAGAGAACCCGCATGAGAAACTATACAAGACAACCATCTGAAGGCACATAGTCATCACATTCACCAAGGTCATCATATTTACCAAGGTCAAGACACACAGAAAAAGTCTTAAAAGCAGCTAGAGAGAAGAGTCAAGTTGTGTACAGAGGAAACCCCATCAGGCTTGCAGCAAACCTGTCAGCAGAAACTTTACAAAGCCAGAAAAGATCAGGAGCCTGTTTTCAATGTCCTTAAAGAAAAAATATTCCAACCAAAAATTTCATATCTCATCAAACTTATTCATTAATCATCTTAAGTGAAGGAAAGAAAATCATTTTCATACAAGCAAATGTTGAGGGAATACATTTCAATTAGACCAGCCTTATAAGAAGTCCTTAAGGGAGTGCATGGAACTGAAAAAAAAAATGACATCAACTACCACAAAAACACATAGTACATAGCCCATAGGTCCTATTAATATAAAACAATCACACAATCAAGTCTGCCTAACAACTAGCTAACAACACAATGACAGGATCAAAATTACACATATCGATACTAACCCTGAATGCAAACAAATGCCCCACTTAAAACATATAGAGTTGCAAGCTGGATACAAAGAAAAGACCCAATTATCTGCTGTCTTCAAGAGACCCATCTCACATGTAGCAACAACCACAGGCTCAATGTAAAGGCATAGAATAAGATCTATCATGCAAATGTAAAACAAAAAGAGAAGTTACTACTCTTAGCTAAAACAGAGGTTAAACCAACAAAAATTAAGAAGTACATTTTATACTGATAAAGGCTATTGTATAATAAGAAGACTTAACTATCCTAAGTATGTGCACATCCAACATTGGAGCACCCAGATTCATCAAACAAGTTCTTCCTGGCCTACAGAAAGATTTAGACAGCCATACAATAGTAGGGGGAGACTTCAACACCCCACTTATAGAGTTAGATTACCCAGGCAGAAAACCAACAATTAAATTCTGGACTTAAACTTGACATTTGGCCAATCAGACCTTATAGACTTCTACAGAACACTCCACCCAACAACCACAGAACATACATTCTTCTTGCTTGTATATGTAACATATTCTAAGATCAGCCACATGCTTGGTCATAAGGTAAGTCCCAATAAATTAAAAAAAAAGAAATCATACCAAGAACACACTTAAGTTACAGTGAAAGAATAATAAAAATCACTGTCAAGATCTCTCAAAACTACGAAAAATGTATGGAAATTAAACAACTTGCTCCTGAATAACTAATTGGGTAAACGTATACATTAAGTCAGAAATCCAAAAATTCTTTGAAATTAATGAATATAGAAACACAACCTACCAAAATCTCTGGATGCAGCTAAAGCATTGTTAAAATGAAAGTTTATAGTACTAAACGCCTTCATCAAGAAGTTAGAAAGATCACAAATTAATGATCTAACTTTACACCTAAAGGAACTAGAAAAAAAAAAGAGAGAGAGAACAAACCAACCCCAAAGGTTATTGTAACCAAAACAACTTGCTACTTCTACAAAAATAGATACATAGACTAGTGGAACTGGTTAGAGAATCCAGAGATAAAGTGACACATTTACAACCATTTGATCTTCAACAAAGTCAACAAAAATAAGTAGTGGGGAAAGGACTCTGCCACTTTCCTGTGGGGAAAGAACTCTCCAGCAATAAATGGTTCTGGGAAACTGACTAGCCATATGCAGAAGAATGAAAGTGGACTCTATACAATAATTAACTCATGGTAGATTAAAGATGTAAATGCAACACCTCCATCTACAAAAGTCTAGAAGAAAACCTAGGAAATACGCTTCTTGATGTTGGCCTTGGCAAAGAATTTTTAATTAAGTCCAGAAGAACAACTGTAACAAAAACAAAATTAATAAGTGGGACCTAATTAAACTAAAGAGCTTTTGCACTGCAAAAGAAACTACCAACAGAGTAAACAGAGAATGTAGAGAATGGGAGAAAATATTTGGAAACTATGCATCTGTTAATGGTCTAATATCCAAAAACCTATGAGGAACTTAAATAAATAAGCAAAAAACACACCCTTAAAAAATGGGCAAAGGACATTAACAGTCACTTCTTAAAATAAGAAATACACAGAGCCAACGAGCATTTGAAAAAATGCTCATTATCACTAATCATCAAAGAAATGCAAATCAAAACTATAGTGAGATACCCTCTCACACAAGTCAAATTGGCTGTTATTAAAAAGTCAAAATACAATAGATGCTGTTGAGGCTGCAGAGAAAAGGGAAAGCTTATACACTCTTGGTGGGAACGTAAACTAGTTCAGCCATTGTGAAAAGCGGTTTGGAAATTTCTCAAAGACCTTAAAACTGAGCTACCGTTCAACCCAGCAATCCCATTACTGGGTATATACCCAAAGGAAAAAATATAATTATAAGGAAAAGACACACGCACTCATGTATTCATGTCATGCCATTCACAATAGCAGAGACACAGAATCATCCTTGATGCCTATCAATGGTGGATTGGACAAAGAAAATTTATATATATATAATATATATATATATATATTATATATATATTCTGTGAGATATATATATATCTCACAGAATATTACACAGCCATAAAAAAATGAAATAATGTCCTTTGCAGCAATATGGAAGTAGCTTGAGACCATAACTCTAAGTGAATTAATGCAGAAACAGAAAAACCAATACCACATGTTCTTTCTTAAAATTGGATGCTAAACATCGATCACCCATGGACATAAAAATGGAAATAATAGACACTGTGGACTGCTAGATGGTAGTGGGAGGGAAGAGTATTCCTTAAGTTAGATTTTATTCCATTAGATAGATGGAAGGAGCAGGGATGCATCAAAAAGCTACCTATTGGGTACTGTGCTCACCGCCTGAGTGTAATATATGCATGTAACAAACCTGCACATGTACCCTATGTATCTAAAATAAAAGTTGAACAAATAGTGACTTGTGACTTTGTAGTGTGTTACAGATTTTTATGATAATAAGTGACTTTGCAGCTACACAATCAGTTCATGGTGCAATATAAATGGAAGCTGAGAGGTTTCTTGAGAAGGCTTCCTTGGTGAATATGTACAGTGTTTTAATTCAATGGAAGACAAGTGCATTTCTGTATTAGCAGAATAAGCTCATATTCCTCAATAAGATTAGGATCACCCCAGTGGTAAATTACTGTGTAAAGAGTTACTTGAAATCAAGGGAAAACTTGGAATGGTTATAAGAGGAGGCAATATACAAGTTTGGCTTTGGATCCAATTGCTAACATAAAGAACATATCCTATACCCAGACTCCCTACCCTATCCATGTAATCATATGCATATGTATTTAACTAATTTTTTATCTGTTATTTTCGTTCATTATTTATTGTACATTCTCAATATAGGAGCAAAATAAAACCAGAAGGAAATAATAATAGCTGAGAGAAGTGAGGCTTGGAATTGGATATAGTAACTGGAAGAGAGTTAACTGAAATCAGATTAACTGTATTCTAAGTAAATGTATAAATTTTGAAAATTTGGGAAAGTTGTGTATATTCTGGAGTTGGGCAACCACAGTGAGAGACTGTTAAAGATCCATTCCCTCACATTTTGGTAACTGACACTCAATTTGTACTTCACTGCTTTTCATAAAAGAAATTGTTTTCACTCCTAGCATCTGGAGGTGGTCTTTTGTTGGTTTTAAATGAATCAATACATGCTATAATATCGCTCATCAGTATTGGATCAGGTATGAATAGGTGACGCTATTTGAGACAATCAGAAAAAATGGAGAGAGCTGACATGGTTCCCCAAACAGAAAATATCCAGAATATGTTCTCTATATTTCTGGATATGAATGGGGACACGTGTCCAGGACTTATTGAATACTTCACTTTGAAACCAGGAAAAGGGTCAGACTTTTTTGGAACTGATCTGGCAAAAGCAGAAGGAAATCTGGCCTTGGTGATAGTGCTAAAGTAGTGAAATATGGCTTGCTTGAAGCCTGCATTACCTCTGAGCTTTTCAGTTTTTAATTTGCATAAGCCAATTTGTTTCTGTCTTTTTAAGTCTATTTTAGGTAGGTTTTCATTTAGTTGCAGTATAAACAGTTCCACCTTTCCCAAGTATATATCAAGAAAAAGAAAAGAAAAAGTGAGAGAAGGTAAGGAAGGAAGGTTGCAATTTAGAGGAGAGCAGAGAAATTCTAGAGAGTCAAAACATATCCAGGGTTTACCAAACTCTCATCCAAAGCCTTAATGTAGAAGAAACAGAGGGGAGCAGTGGTTTCCACAATTTTGTATCAACTTTCTGTTCTCTTTTTTCATATAATCTTCAGTACCAGGAATTTTAATTTTCTACTTGTGGTGGTGGGGGTGGGGAGGAGTATTCCTCAAGTTAGATTTTTATATGTCTTATTCTTTCATTTCTTTAAAGATATATGTAACATATCACTGATCGAATTTTGTTAAAAAAGCCGTCTTTTCAATAGGTCATCAAATTTATTTAATAGAGAAAAACAGAATGCTTACACTGAGAGAAAACAAGAAGTAGAAATGGAAACCACATTAAAAATAAATGTAAAACTGAAACCATGTTTTCTGTTTCCAGTGTGAAATGGCAAAATGAGAGATTAAAATGCTGAAGAACTCTATCCATAAGGATGTTACAGAACCAGTAGACTTTTGTTTTGTTTTGTTTCATTTTCTGCTTGATTTTTGTCAAGGATAAATAAATAGGTAAAAGTTAGGAAATTGATCCGTTTGCATCATACTATTTTTATATGTTCTTTATCAGATTAGAAACTGGGCCTCCCATAAAAATATTCTGTAAACTGACAACGATTCTCTCCTTTATCAAATTTTAGTTAAGCTCCTCTGAAACCTCAGCTCACCTAGGCCTGAGCTTTGGTCTTCTTCATTCATCTCTGTATTATCCATTTTTATCAAGCATACCGTGAAGTCAGTATAGCCAGCCAGAATCTCCCACCCTTGGTATCTATCTGATCACCTTCAATATCTGAACAAATTTCTCATCCCTCACCAACCCCCAGTTGATATCTAATTGCCATGGCCAGCCTTCAGCAAGAATCCTGTCAAGTAGGTTTAGCCAGTACCCTCTCTTACTCCTGATTGTCCTCTTAGTATTTTTTCATCCACTGACCTCTACCCTATTCATTAGCTATAAATTCCGTACCTTATTGTATTCAGAGTTGACCACAATCACTCTCTCTTACTGCAAAATCCCACTGCAGTAATTCCTATACCTATCAAAATAGTCCTAAGTAATGAATGATAACGCAGGCATTTCCATGGGTCACAATAATTTTTTTACAATTACATAAGCAAACACTGAACTTGGAATTATGAATACTGAATACCATGCAAATCACCACGAAGTAAGAATGAAGCTTTTCCCCACACCTTTTAAAATACAAAGACTATATACTTTCTTCTTATATGAGGTTTTTAAATTTTTTTTTCTAAGGCACTTGGGATATCTCTTGGAAATGCCAGTTAATTAATTGACTTAAAGAAAAACAAAACAAAACAAAAAGTGTATGCCTATACAATCACCATGCTCAATATTAGCTTTTTCAAACTTGCTTACTCCTACATTTAAATGTATACTTTATTCTTTAAAAAATGAGTCAAATTTTTTAAAAGACCAAGTAGTTACGCAATTCATATCTAATATTATTCTAACCCCTAATGTTAATTTTTCATCCCTGTAAAAAGCCACTTTTCACAATTTCACTTTTTTCTTTTGATGGTTTATATGCATATATGTAATAATATAAATGTATAAATATTATATAAGGACTCCTCAAACTTTTCAACTGGTGTATGTCTTTGTTTTTGTTCTTGATTTTTTTTCACCCTTGAGTATTATTTCACACTAAATGATAATTAAATACGAACAAAAGTATAGACATAAATATTTGAATAATTGAAATATATATTTAATATAGATGTTAAAATACTAAAATCTAGATAAATAACATATAGATATAAAATATAAATATGAAACATTAAATTAAATATAGATGTAAAAACTGTGCATATTTTATACAAATGAAAACTGGTGAACAGTATTTGTTGTGGTTTATTTTTAATTATCACTTCATATTAGACATTATTAGAACATATTTAATTACATATTCAATACTGTTGACATTTGTACATTCATTTGCTATGTGAATTCAACTATCTATTGGTGAATATTTAAGTGATTTCTATTCCAGTTATTGTCAAAAATGCAATGTCAATATTTTTTAATATCTTGTATATATTGGCACTTTTTCTTTGTTTTCCTTTTTTTTTTTTGAAACGGAGTCTCACTCACTGCGACACCCAGGCTGAAGTACAATGGCACGATCTTGGCTCACTGAATCCTCTGCCTCACGGGTTCAAGCGATTCTCCTGCCCCAGCCTCCTGAGTAGCTGGGATTACAGGTGCCTACCATCCCTGGCTAATTTTTGAAATTTTAGTAGAGACCAGGTTTCACCATATTGACCAGGCTGGTCTCAAACTCCTGACCTCAAGTGATCCACCCGCCCAGCCTCCCGTATTGCTGGGGTTACAGACGTGAGCCACCGGGCCCAGCCTATTTGTACTTTTTCTAAAAGAGAAATTGCTAGTTTTATTTTAACAGTATAACTTTTTTTTTTTTTTTCTGAGACGGAGTCTCAGTCTGCACTTCCAGGCTGGAGTGCAATGGTGTGATCTCAGCTCACTGCAACCTGTGTCTCCCGGGTTCAAGTGATTCTCCCACCTCAGCCTCCCCAGTAGCTGGGACTACAGGCGCGTGCCACTACACCCGGATAATTTTTCTATTTTTAGTAGAGACGGGGTTTCACTATGTTGGCCAGGCTAGTTTCAAACTCCTGACCTCATGATCTGCCCCCCTTGGCCTCCCAAAGTGCTGGGATTACAGGCGTGGGCCACCACGCTAGGCTAACATTATAACTTTTAACACTGTAACATGTTATCTAATTTTCCTTTAAAGGACTTTTTCAAATTGCACCAATTTCTTAAATTCTTAGAAATACTATAAACTACTCTTGCTCTGAAGAATGAATAAATAAAATATATGAATTTTAGCTTACAATTTGTATTTTTTAATTATGAAAAATCTGATATTTTCATAGATGTTAAATTCACACATACTATGATCACTGGTTTATTGTATTTATTCATTATTTTAAGTATTTATAACAATCATAATAATAAGGAACTTAGCCATTGCATATAACAAATTTCAAACTTGCTTTTTAAAATTATTTACTAGGCTTTCTTTCTGCTTGAAATGCTATTTATATAGCAATCTACCTAGCTTACTCTTGAATTTTCTTCCAATTTTTTTTCTCAGATAATATTAAGGAAGTCATCACTGAACCTGCATTTAGAATTTTCATATGTAATCTTTTGTTGCCTCCCCTCTGGATTCCCCCTACACTGCTGTGCATTTTCATTTTTTATACCACTTGTCACATTCTATCTTGTATACTTTTATGGGATATTTATTGCTTATCTTTTTTACTTCCTGCTGGAATTTAAACTCTAAGAGGTCAGGTGCCTTTATCTATTTTCGTTAAATCACATAACCCAAGTTCTGGAATAGTGCCTGGCACATAGAGGGCACAAATAAAAATATTTGTTGAATAAATGTGTCTTCTTTTACTTAAGGTAATAGTTGTCATTTCTAAAGAGCCAACCAAGACTTTAGGATGTATATTCCCTCAGTGTACTTATTGCCTGCTATATAGATAGTAATATGAACATTTAGGGGTACATTTAGGGAAACATTTGGGGTACACAAACCAAATTTGCATAAATAAGGCAATAATTATAATACACATAAACATAATCTGCTGCAGCTTAAATTTTATTTGACCTTTTACCAATCTCTTAATTTGGATGACATGTGTGTTAGTCTTAATTATTCTCTATTTTGAATGACTCCTTCCACTTTATTAAGTAGCTCAGTTAAGGAAAACATTATTCATTCTTTAGAAAAGTTGTTTCTGTTTCACTTACATCTTTTATTGAAGAAGTCATTCTAGTAGAAAATACAGTAAAGCAACTCTTGCTGGGACCTACTCAGAAATGTCTATTGAAATTAGAAGGAGAAGTTCCAGCAGAATAGGCTGGTAATTTAGTGTCTATTTTTAATAACTCAGACTCACTTTTGTGTGTGTGTGTGTTTTTTTTTTTTTGAACGAATGTGATTTTACTTCCTTTTTCAGAGAAATATAGTAGTCTGTAATGGCTCTTTCATATTTTTCCCCATAAGCTACTAGACCTATTCTTGATATTGTCCGAAACTTGGCAACCACAAATTATAAAAAGGGGTGATTGCTTAACACTGGGCAGGCTTTTCATTTTATTTTTAGCATGAATTTTAATCTTCTTTGGAGTTCATGGCACGATAACTTTTATGACAACTGGTGGTAACTGAAGATAGTGAAAGTAGAAATCACTCACCAACAAGTTAGTGAAATAAACCACAAGACATTCAAACAGTGATATTTTCTCTATTCATTGAACCTGTCATGATTCTGAATATGTCATTTTACAGACACAATATAGTAACCCAAAATTCTAGTTTTTAAAAATCCAGCATAAAGTAGCTTTTCTAACAGCAAAATCTGTGTTCTTACCTATTCTGCTATGCTGATTTTACCAACTGGCTCCAAAAATATTACACTTGCCAAATCAAATGAGAAAAATTGACACATGACATATCTTAAATACAAAGCACTATAATTCAAAACAAAAAAAATACAGAAGTGTCATATTTTAGTAAATGTCATATCAACTGATTGAAAGTTATTCCTTTCAAGGATTAAAAAAAAAAAAAACTGGAAGCCTGAATATACTGTGTACAAAAATGTCACTGACAATGAATATCAACCACATTAGATCAATCAGTGTTTAGCCCTCTGTTGCCAGGAATCCTCTAATTGATTCTTAATGTTGCTTTGAGACTTACTGATTGGCAATGAGGTAGTCTGTTTTATACCTAAAATCTAAGTTAGGAGTGGTATAGAAGTATTATAGAAACAAAAGAAAGCGACTAAAGTAAATAAAGGTATGGTTGTGGATGAGATTGTTTCAGACAAAATTAAAAAACTTGTAAAATAACTTGTGTTCTTGAGATAGGTACATATAATTTATGTGCAAAGGAATAAGAGAAAAATAATTGTGGACCATAACTTTGATGGTTTTGTAATTAGTTAAACTATTTTTCACATTTCTATTTCATATATGTTTCACACTATGGTAGGGGAAGTTCTGTGCAATTTGGAGAGTAAAAAGAAAACAGCAACTGTTTTACAGCTCACACATATAATTGCTGACCTGCTGACTTACTTCACTGGAATAAAGAAGTATCTGGGCTACCTTCTGCTGGATCCTCCATCTTTTGCAATTACTCTAACTTCTGCTGGGATCTTCATCATCCTCTCTGACTTCTAGGCCAGTATGTGTGGCCAGTTTCCTAACAAATGCTTGGCTTTTGCAGGATACTCTCATCCTTCAGGTCAGAGGCAACATGGGCTGACTGTTTTCAGTTTATGCTTTTGAGTTACAACCTGCTCGTGATCTTTCCTGCAGCACTATGGACATTACTATCCAGCATCAGATAAAAACAACTTTGGAGACATCTTAACCAGTCTCAGAACTGTATAAACCATTTCCTAATTACAAATTTCTTAAATGAATACTGATTCCCCTTTTCTGTTGAACCCTGAATGATAGATGCTTTTAGACAAGCTTTAAGACTCAGGATGCAGATAGAATGATGCATGTGACTCTTATTGGTCATGTGAAAGATCTTGGCCATTTAATTTTTTAAGCTTTGCGAAGGGATAAAGATCATCATCAGGTTTGCAGTTCGTAAAATTATTCTGCCTGAAACATATAAACTATTTAAAGAAAGACGACTGGGGAGAGATAATACAAAACTATTGCAGAAGTCAGGCAAGAGTTTATGGTAACTTTGTCTAGGTAGATGGTTGTGAAGAAAGACACAGAGAAGATATGGGTAAAAGTGAAAGCAATTGGTGAGATATATTCTGGTATTAAAAAAGGAAATATTAAGAATGATTCTGACTTATTTGGAATGAGTAGATTTAATTTATTTTATCACTGAGGATAATTTTTATGAAGGAGTACATGAGTTCTGCTTTGTCACAGTTTGTCTACTTTAAGGTAGTTTTGACTTATGCAATTGAAAATACTAAGTTATTAAATGTATAAGGTGATTGCTTAGAGAAGTCAGAAAAAGTGTATACAATCTTGAGTCATCTATGATTATGGATGGTGTCTACTAAGAAAGAATGCTGAAAGAGAATAGACATTGGCATTAATTGCCTAAGAAGTTTCAAGATGTATTAGCATTATAAATGCTGGAGTGTTTTCACTCTTGTTTCAACATTTTAAGGTATTTGGAATTTATTTATTAAATTGTAAATCACTCCCCTAATCATAAAATTTATGACATACTAATAATTATAAATTTAATTAAACATTTTTTACTAAAAATGCATTCAGCTGAATATGGTGAAGTACCAATTTTATTAAGACTACATTCATTAGAAGCTTGAATCTAGTCCCCAAGCATAGACTATTTTTTCCAAAGTATTCACTGAAAACTATTTTACTATGAATAAGTCTCTTAAGTATTATATTCCTCATGCATTTTTAACTGAAAAATACATGATTAAAAATTACTAATATTTCTGCATAGTAATTATTATAGGTAATATAATTTATAATTCTAAATAAAATATTGTGTTCAGAATCCTGTTAAAGACTCATGGTTCTTCTTACTTACCAAGGAACTCAATAAAATATTTTATTGAAAAAGTATTTAAAAACATATTCAATATACACTTTTTTTTACTGGAAAAATTGCACATATATGTATTACTACAGATGGGCGGGAAGACGGTGTATGAGATATAATTTTTTTATATGAAAGAGAGTCAAATAATGTTGACAGGTGAAATGCCAATCTAAGTCAGAATCATCAAAATCAAATTATTTAAGAAACACATGGAAGATTGCATTGACATTGTTGTTATAAATTCTTTTCGAGAAAACCCACAAATACTTCTTGCAGGCATACTGTATTCCAATACCTAGGCATCTACCAAACCACCTGAGTTGCCGATAATCCTTGATCCCTCTCTTGACCTCTTCTCATGGCAATGTATGGCTGACTTTGTGAGGTGAGTATATCTAAAGACATTTTATTTCATATACATCACAGTCTAAATCTCTTTCTGTAGAGTGAAAGTCATTGAAACATGGTTTTCTTACGTTGTACTCTAGTGCACTTTGCTCTATGAAAGTCTGTAATAATTCATATTTTCTTGTTTCTTTTTTTTTTTTTCAAGATGGAGTCTTGCTTTGTTGCCCAGGCTGAAGTGCAATGGCATGATCTCAGCTCACTGCAACCTTTGCCACCTGGGTTCAAGTGATTCTTCTGCCTCAGCCTCCTGAGTAGCTGGGGTTACAGGCACCTACCACCACGCTCAGCTAATTTTTTGCATTTTTAGTAGAGACGAGTTTCACCATGTTGGCCAGGCTAGTCTCAAACTCCTGACCTCGTGATCTGTCTGCCATGCCTCCCAAAGTGCTGGGATTACAGGAGTGAGCCACTACACCCGGCCTCTTGTTTCATTTTTTTAAGCTACAAAGTGCTGGATAGTGCTTTGTAATAGCCTCTACAGCTCTACTCTTGCAGTGAACATCAATCAAAGATTGAACTCATTCACTGCACTTTTTCCTTCGCATCTGGTCAAAATGTAGGCTGCAAATACAAATCAAATTGCTAAGAAATAAAAGATGCTATTTAGCTTTGACAGATATTTCAGCAATTGATGAACCTTTAAGAACAATTGATAAACCTTCGAATGCCATTTGATCCCCCTTCTCTCCATTTCTTCCTCCCTCTTCTTTGCCTTCATTTTCTTTTTTATATTGTATTCTATATTTTTGCACAGTAATTCACTTCATTTTGAAATAAATTTTGTTTAAAATTTTATTTCTTAAATGATTCAAATAAAAAAGATTTATCAGGAAGCCAAAGTCAACTAATACATATTAATAATGGAATGATTTAGATCTAGCTGTAAGATCTAGATTTATAGATCTTATAAAAAGTTTAGTAAAAATAATCGGAAATAGTACATATATCAGCGCTTCACAAACTTCAATCTGTATAAGAATCACCTGACTTATTATCAATATTCAAATCCTGAAACAGTAAGTCTGGGGTTATACCCCAAATTCTGAATTTCTAACAAGCTTCTGATTGAAGCTAATGTTCATAGACCACTTTGTGAGTATTCACTGTAGTGATGCAAGTCCATAACGCAATATAAAAGGAAAGCAAATAAGAGTTATTGAAATGTAAAACCCATGTACTCCATAAACTCATGGGACTCTACCGTGAGTTAAGCAGTAACTGATGAAATTATACATATTAACTCATTCAACCCTCACAAGAACTCTCAGAGGTAGGTATTACAAATTCCATTTCCAGATGAGGACACTAACATTCAAAGGTAGTCTTATACTTCACTGAAGACATAGAGCTCTGCTTTTAGAATGTATTCCAGTTTTACATAATTATGTTCTCTCCCTATTAGTAAGATATTATTATTACATTTTACTATAGTTCCTTACAAAATTAAAATAAACTCTTACTGAATAATGAATTTGATCTTGGTGAACATTTTGATTTGTTATACTGATACTGTAATTTGCATATTGTTTTTCATCATGTGAATCACAGTGGTTGTCTAAATGCATATTTAAACCAAGCACCTACTGTGATATACATCAAAATTGATGTCACTTATAAAAGCCATAAATAATTTAGTATTCCATAGAGATAGTGCAATAGAGTTCTAAGTCACAGATACAAAATATTAATTATTTTCATGCTGCAGATAGTACTTTTAGGTGGAAATTTGGTCCTGACTTATTCCTGATTACTTGTGATTTTTGAAGAAACTATGTGCCTATGGGCTGCCATGGGTAGCAGAACACCAAGGAGGCAGTGACCCCTCACCTAACCTACAAATGCTTGAGAGTCTCTTTCCACCTTACTGCAGATATCATGTGAAAAGAACTACCTACTGATGTGGTATCTTTAGAATATCCTATATGATGACAGTCACAGTTGTGCAACTGGAAATAATTCACTTTAAAATTTGCACTGCTGTAGTTATAGAAGTGTATGCAATAATTTGCTGTTTGACAGGAATCCTTATAATAAGAGGAAAAGCAATCACGTAGACAAAAGCTGTGGAAGAATTGAAAGTAATATTGGACCTGCTCTTCTCTGATAAGGAGCAGGAGTTATAGAATATTTCCATTTTTGTGACTCTAACTTTATAATCAATAATATTTGTCAAATAATAGCAAAAGGTTTTTGAAGCTACTGAAATTACACAACTGGGGACATTCAAATAAAAATATGAGAACATGTTCTTTTCGACAATTGGCTAGGGCATTCCTGCCAAATAAAAAATCATAATGAAAATAATTAAGGCATTGAGGGAACATCCAGTCTCTAAGTATAGCTAAAGGTTGTGGCCATTATATAAGGAATAAATGTATGGAGGCTCTGAAAGCTTGAAAGAAAACTATGATTCCATGAGAATGCATGGTAATACGCAAATACGTTGCATACATTAACTATGTGAATGACAGAAGAAAGAATTTGCGTAAAAACAACAAAGCTATGTGATGTGATTTTTTTTTTTTTTTTTTTTTTTTTTTTTTTTGAGACGGAGTCTCCCTCTGTCGCCCAGGCTGGAGTGCGGCGGCGCGATCTCGGATCACTGCAAGCTCCGCCTCCCGGGTTCACGCCATTCTCCTGCCTCAGCCTCCTGAGGAGCTGGGACTACAGCTGCCATTACTCCCGGCTAATTTTTTTGTATTTTTAGTAGAGACGGGGTTTCACCGTGTTAGCCAGGATGGTCTCGATCTCCTGACCTCGTGATCCGCCCGCCTCGGCCTCCCAAAGTGCTAGGATTAAAGGCGTGAGCCACTGCGCCCGGCCGCTATGTGATTTTTTTTTTTTTTTAAAGAGTACTTCTATTAGAAAATCAATGATTGATCAGTGTATATGAAACAAATGACAGAGAGAGAGAGAGAGGGAGAGAAATGATAAGTTGATATGTAATTAAATACTGAACAATCATGGACCAAATAAAAAAAGCCTGACATTGAGTAACAGTCATAGCTTTTACTTTAGTGACAAGATTACTGCATGCTAAATGTTCTAAGCGGTTGACGTGTCCCAACCTATTTGCATATCTCATATCAGAAGCCAAGCTACTGCATGACTGACAACACTTAGGAAAGAAGACAAATATTTACCACCAGCCCAGCCAGTTTACACTGTTTTGAATTGCAGTTCTACCCAGGGGCTTTAACACAGGAAGAGAAGTGCAGGTCCGTGTGTCCTAAAGTGAACCATAACTGGGACTGTTTTTAAAATAACTTTTGTACCTGAATTCAGAATTGTTGTGAGTTAAGATGCGGTACTGTATACAATAATATGATCTGTTGATTTTCCAAACCTTGGAATATATTATTTATAAAATATTGTGAACATGTTTTTAAAACTTTCTGGTTTGCACTGTAACTCACAAACACATTCTGGTTGATCAACATTTAGAAGATTTCAACAAGCTTTCATTTGTTTTTATTTATCTTATAAGGCATAGAATTACATAATAACTTCTTTTGTTTTTTGCTTGTTTGTTAGTTTGTTTTTGGTGGGGATTTTTTGTTTTTTGGTTTTGTTTTGTTTTGAGATGGAGTCTCGCTCTGTCGTCCAGGCTGGAGTGTAGCGGCACAATCTCGGCTCACCACAGCCTCTGCCTCCCGGGTTTAAGTGATTCTCCTGCCTCGATCTCCTCCCAAGTAGCTGGAATTACATGCAAGCACCACAATGCCCGGCTAATTTTTGTATTTTTAGTTAGAGACAGGGTTTCACTGTGTTGCCAAGGCTGGTCTCGAACGCCTGACCTTGGCCTCCCAAAGTGTTGGGATTACAGGCGTGGGCCACTGTGCCCAGCCTCATAATAACTTCTTAAAAATCCTTGTGACCCTGTATACCTCATATTTATAACTGAAAACCTGTATTTTATTCAAGCGTTAGTAATGATATGTAGCCTCATTGAGTATTAAGTTAAAAATATTTTCATAATGCAAAATAACATAAGGCTCCTAAGCAAGTCATGGAAGTGTATTTACTGTCTCCTTATTTTCCTTTCGTCTCCCATCTTCTAATTCTTTTACACTTTCTGAAAGCATGCATTGTTTTTATAAATTGTTGACTTTGCTCAGAAGGCTTCACTTTCCTTTTTACTAGTACCTGAAATAATTATAATATTTAAATTATCTAACTGTAAAATTTTTCACTCTATCCTTTTTTTTCAACTTTGGGAGCTGCTTCTTATATAAGATCCTGGTATAAAGAGTAACAAGATAAATCATTTTTTAAAAAATGAATCACTGTTGGAAACTTTCTGTTTCTTCTCTGGAAATTAATCTTTAACTATAGTGAGAGCTTCATAGCTTTCTGGGTATAGACTCCCTGAATTTTAATCCTGCTTGTACCAATTATTAGCTGTGTGACTTCGGGCAAATTACATAAAACTTCTCTCTACCTCAATTTCTTCATGTTTAAAATGAGGATTATCATAAAACCCATTTGATGATGGTATTTTAAAAATTAAACAAGTGTTAGTAAATAAAAATATTTTGGCCTAATGTCCAAAACATTGGCAATATTGCTAACATGGCTTTATAAGTTTTGTCCCAGTCACACTGAAATAATTTTAGTTTATATATCATCTTTCTGTTTCCTACATGTTAGATTAAGTACATGATATTTTCCTTGCCTAGAAAGTTCTCTTTCCCTGTCTTCCTATAAATAATTCTTAATCTTACTTTTCTTTCAGTTCTAAATTTTAATAGGTTTCTATTGCAGTGTACAAAACTATTGCAAACATCACGTTTTCTTTTCTTTTCTTTTTTTTTAAAGAACATATTAATTGTCCCTGTGTGGGTCAGGAGTCCAGGGACACCTTAGCTGGATCCTCTGCTCAAATTCTGTGAGTCCTACAAACAAGGTATTGTCCAGGCTGCTTTTTATCTAGAGCTTCGGGAGCTCCTTGTGGTTACAGGACTGAGGAGCTCAGCTTCTAAAGGCATGGCCATTCGCTACCATAAGGCCAACAGTAGCGTCTCCCTGACTTCTAAGTTCCCTTTTAGGGATTCACATAGTTAGGTCAGGTATACCCAGGTTAATTTCCCTTTTGATTAACTCAATGTCAAGTTATTAGAGGGTTTTTAAAAACTCTTTCTAAATATAACAATTCCCACCCACAATCAAGGCTGAGTATTATACAAGTACAAAGGAATAGGTAACGTGAGGGCCATTTTAGAATTCCGACTACTTCAGTCTATTTTCTAGCACTGATAATTTAGTTCTCTCCCATTTTCAAAATACATTTTCTCCCACCAAAACATGTCCCAGAGTCTCATCCCATTATAGAATCAACTCAAAGTCCAAAATCTCATTATCTAAATCCATCTGTGGACAAACCCAAAGGCCCCTATAATTTACAGCATACAGTGATAAGACAAGCAGAAGATAACGATTAGAAACATTTGATTCAAAAAGAGAGAAAATGAAAGGAAAAAATAAATCACTTGATCCTAAGACTTCTGAAATCCACCAAGACAAGTGTTGGATTGTCCTTGATTAGCTTTTAAGGTCTGGGAATAATCCTTCACAGTTCCTGACTTCACCTCTGGGATCTTGGTTCCATCTTCTGAATCATTGCTCCTTTTTCTTTTCATGAAAGGTAATATGTGTTTTCAGTTAAGCACTTTTATCAGGTTTCTACCTGCCAAAATAATTCTGTGAGACTGACAGCTTTATTTCATTACACACTATCTCTGTCCCTTTTACTCCCAGCTGCCACTAGTTCTGTGGAAACAATTTTCTCAAGGACTCTGTGAACCTTCATGGCTTTCAAGGGGATTTAATTCATTAGACAAACACCACAATCACAAATCTTTTGGAGATAATCTTTTCTCTATCTTTGGCTCCTGCTGAGATGAATGAGAGACAATATTTCTAAGCTTCCTGGAGACCCTCTTGCTTATTTGAAAGGTTCTGTGATTTACACCCTTAATCTCTTCTACGGACTCTTTGTGTCATTGTGGGCTCCGACCTTTTGATCTTTCTGAAGTTTCAGCAAAAGGTTGTATAGCCACACACCCAGTTCTCTATACCACACTTTCACCAGTCATTTCCCAATTTTAGCATCTTTTGCCTTTTTGATGGGCTGAAAATTTTAAAAATCATTCAGTCCTATTTTCTTTATGGTTAGCAATTATTTCCTCACTTTTTCTCTATTCTCTCACATTTTATGGTAAATAGTAAGAAAAAAACAGATAGTACCTTCGACACTTTGCCTGAAAATCTCCAAGCTATACCTATAGATTTTTCTTATAAGCTTCTCTTTCCATATAACTTCAGGACATACTTTTGTTAGTTTTAAGCCTCTGCATACCAAGGATCTGACCTCCTCTAATTCCTCAGTGGGATTCTCCTTACTTTCTTCTGAGTCGTCAGTATATTCAATATCCTGTTGTCTGTCATCAGTCTGTCAAATTAATTTATACTTTCTCCATCATACTTCCTCAAATTCTGTCTGATTCCATCACCTGGTTCCAAAGTTTCTCCCACATTTGAGATGTTAGTTGCAGCACTGCTCCATTTCTTGTATCAACATCCATTAGTTTTTTTTTTTAATTCTATTTGACAAGTTATGACAAAGATAGTTTCTTAATAAAACACTCATTCATTATCTCACAGTTCCACGTGCTGAGAGTCAAGGCATGGCTTAGCTGGAACATCGGTTCAGTCTTTCCAAGGGTTGCAATCCAAGATGCCTACAAAGTCTTCATTTTCACTTGAAGCTAAGGGCCCTCGTTCAAGTTTCTTTAGATTGTCGGTGGAATTTAGTTTCTCGTGGTGGGATTTTTGAGATTCTTATCTTGTAGAGGCTCTCTTTCTCCGTTGAAAGTTCCCAACAGCAAAAATGTCTCTCTCTTAGTCCTGTTTTCTAGGGCTCAAATTGTTGGATTAGTCCTGTTCAAAAAGGTCAATCTTGACTAATTCAAAGTGAAGTAATAAGAGCCTTTACTTGCACCTGTAAAAAATTTCCTCTCCTTTGCCATATAAAGTGATACCATCTCCGTAATACTACCCATTATAGTCACAGATCAAACCCTCAGTCAAAGGGAGGGAATTATACAGGTGGTGGAAATCCCGGGGGCCATCTGGAATTCTGCCCTCCATATCAGTCAAACTGTAACTTTCCATTTGCAATCACTCTATGTCCTTCTAGAGTACTCTGAAGTCTTAATATATATCTGTAATCCCTGGAAACTGAAGGTACAGTGACCCTGCTCCTTTTTCTTTTTTTTGTATAATTTCCATGTTTCTTAGTTAATACTCTTTATACTTAGGTTCTTCATGTACCAGCTGAAGATAATACAAACCCTCATCTTTCACAAGAAAAGACTAGGGTAAGTTTTTTTAATATGATATTTTAAAACTACCAGTGAAGATTTCAATAAAAATGCTCCATACCTTCACTGAATGAATATTGATAATATCACTATTCATAATAGACACAAACTGGAAATGATGCAAATATTTTTCAACAGTAGAACAGATAAAGATATTGCAGTATGTTTCTACAATAAGAAACAATAAGAATAAATAAACTACAACTAAATTAAATTATAGAGAAATTTCTTGCACAAGCTATTTTGGGTGAAAGTTGAATATAAATTGGTATAGATCATAGAATTATATTTTTATATGTTCAAAAATAAGCTGAGCTAATTTAGATTGTTCAAAATGCATATAACCCCGAAGGGAGGAGTGAAAATGATTCAAAGGGATATTCTGGTTGAAGTTAATATTCTACTTCTTGATCTGGATTTTTAAAATATGAATTAGCTCAATTAGTGAAAATTCATTGAGCGCTATACTAATGAATGGTACACAATCCTACATGTGATCTATAAATCAATAAAAAGTTCAAGAATATACAAAGGAAATGATAACCACAAGAAAACTTATAGAAATAAAATATCCTCAAATAAAAGCAAACAATATAAATTATCATGTACATGAAGAATACATTTTCAATAACATGTTCTCTTACATACAATGCTCTTGCCCTTTACATTATTTTATAAATGAAATTAAATTACAGTTTAGAATTATCTGTCAACTCCTGCATATTGTAACGCTAGTGAATTTTATGAAGTAAAACTGTCTCTTTTATTTTCCACAGATGAGGTCGAAGGAGGAGTTCTCCCCTGGCACATTTTTTGCTGTCATGTACGTTTTAACACAGAGTTTGAAGTTTTTGTTTTGTTTTGTTTTGTTTTAATTATACCTTAAGTTCTGGGATACATGTGCAGAACATGCAGGTTTGTTATACAGGTATACATGTGCCATGATGCACCTATCAACCCATCATCTACATTAGGTATTTCCCCTAATGCTATCCCTCCACTAGCCCCCCACCCCTTGAAAAGCTCCCGTGTGTGATGTTCCCCTCCGTGTGTCCATGTGTTCTCATTGTGCAACTCCCACTTGTGAGTGAAAACATGCGGTGTTTGATTTTCTATTCCTGTGTTAGTCTGCTAAGAATGATGGTTTCCAGCTTCATCCATGTCCCCGCAAAGGACATGAAATCATCATTTTTTATGGCTGCATAGTATTCCACAGTGTATATGTGCCACATTTTCTTTCTCCAGTCTATCATTTATTAATGGGCATTTGGGTTGGTTCAAAGTCTTTGCTATTGCGAATAGTGCTGCAATAAACATACGTGTGCATGTGTCTTTATAGTAGAATGATTTATAATCCTTTGGGAATATACTCAGAACTTTAATTACACAATTGTATTCATATGAAATATCTAGTTTATTGTGAATCTCTGAATTTTACATAATTTTTTGTAGCAGACTCATGTTACAACTTGTTTTTTTATTCAACATTAGGTTTTAGAGATTTTGTTATACTTATTCCTATAATTCAATTTGTTATTTTAGTTATGATATAGTATACTGTTGTACGGAAACCTTGATTTTTGTATAGGTTTCATATTTTCCTCTTGGTGTACACTACCATGTTTCCAAACTTTATGTCATTGTTAAATATATATTTAATGAAATCTTTGTATATATTCCTTATGCACATTTGACATTTTTGTGTTTTGTTTATGGTATAGTTAGAGATTTATAATTGTTATAACACTCATCTGAAATTCAACATATATTGATAAATTACTTTCCAAAGCACTTAGCAACTTAGTTTCCTGAGTGTATGATATACAGTGATATCTCCTTGTTTTTCTTCCTTGGCATTTATATAATTACTATTATTCTTAAACAAATTCAACACTCATTTTCCCATAAATGAATTGCCTGTACAAAACATAGTTTTTACTTGGCTGTACAAAACATTTTTTTTTTTTACTTGTCGATGTTTAAATTTTCTAAAAAAGGTATATATTGTTTGTAAATTTGAATTTTTATTGCAATTTTATTAGTCTCCCTATATTTCTTTTTAATTTGTATCACTCACAGCCTAGTATATTTGAGATACAGAAATTCTACTACTTAACAATTTGGTCAAACCACTTCTAAAACTACAGTTTAAATATTAATCAGCAAAATTTTCTTTATAATATTTTATGTTTTTCTGAATATTTTATCTATGGTAAGATATGACAAGATATGGTAAGATTAAGTGTTTTTTTCAATTTATTACTTCTACAGTATTCACATTTTTATGGTTAATCTTGTCCATTTTCTGCCTTGATAAGTTGCAAAATTAATGTATTGTTTAAGTAATATATGTAAATTAATTTCTACTTAGCTTTTTAACTATAAGCCACTTGTTTTTATATGAAGTATTTTTATTGCTATTTAGTTATAGGAGTTTAAGGTATAATGTTATCTTACTCTTTATCCTCTGTATTCTTTAAGAGTGCTTTTATCTTTTAGTCCACATGTGTAAGGGATTTTCTCATTCTTCTTGTTGATTTATACTTTTCTTTTTTTTCTTTTTTTTATTATTATACTTGAAGTTCTAGGGTACATGTGCACAATGTGAAGGTTACATATGTATACATATGCCATGTTGGTGTGCTGCACCCATTACTCATCATTTACATTAGATGTATCTCTTAATGCTATCCCTCCCCCCTTCCCCCCACCCCACCACAGGCCCCAGTGTGTGATGTTCCCCACCCTGTGTCCAAGTGTTCTCATTGTTTAATTCCCACCTATGAGTGAGAACATGCAATGTTTGGTTTTCTGTCCTTGTGATAGTTTGCTCAGAATGATGGTTTCCAGTTTCATCCATGTCCCTATGAAGGACATGAACTCATCCTTTTGTATGGCTGCATAGTATTCCATGGTGTATATGTGCCACATTTTCTTAATCCAGTCTATCATTGATGGACATTTGGGTTGGTTCCAAGTCTCTGTTATTGTGAATAGTGCCACAATAAACTTATGTGTGCATGTGTCTTTATGGCAGCATGATTCATAATCCTTTGCAAACCACTGCTCAATGAAATAAAAGAGGGCACAAACAAATGAAAGAACATTCCATGCTCATGGATAGGAAGAATCAATATCACGAAAATGGCCATAATGCCCAAGGTAATTTATAGATTCAATGCCATCCCCATCAAGCTACCAATGACTTTCTTCACAGAACTGGAAAAAACTACTTAAGTTCATATGGAACGAGAAAAGAGCCCGCATCGCCAAGTCAATCCTAAGCCAAGAGAACAAAACTGGAGGCATCATAATACCTGACTTCCAACTATACTACAAGGCTACAGTAACCAAAACAGTGTGGTACTGGTACCAAAACAGAGATATAGACCAATGGAACAGAACAGAGACCTCAGAAATAATACCACACATCTACAACCATCTGATCTTTGACAAACCTGACAAAAACAACAAATGGGGAAAGGATTCCCTGTTTAATAAATGGTGCTAGGAAAACTGGCTAGCCATATGTAGAAAGCTGAAACTGGATCCCTTCCTTACAACTTATACAAAAATCAATTCAAGATGGAATAAAGACTTAAATGTTAGACCTAAAACCATAAAAACCCTAGAAGTAAACCTAGATAATACCATTCAGGCCATAGGCATGGGCAAGGACTTCATGACTAAAACACTAAAAGCAATGGCAACAAAAGCCAAAATTGACAAATGGGATCTAATTAAACTAAAGAGCTTCTGCACAGCAAAAGAAACTACCATCAGAGTGAATACACAACCTACAGAATGGGAGAAAAATTTTACAATCTACCCATCTGACAAAGGGCTAATATCCAGAATCTACAAAGAACTTAATCAAATTTACAAGAAGAAATCAGACAACCCCATCAAAAAGTGGGCAAAGGATATGAACAGACACTTCTCAAAAGAAGACATTTATGCAGCCAATAGACACATGAAAAAATGCTCATCACTGGTCATCAGAGAAATGCAAATCAAAACCACAATGAGATACCATCTCACACCAGTTAGAATGGCTTTCATCAAAAAGTCAGGAATCAACAGGTGCTGGAGAGGATGTGGAGAAATAGGAACACTTTTACACTGTTGGTGGGACTGTAAACTAGTTCAACCATTGTGGAAGTCAGTGTGGCGATTCCTTAAGGATCTAGAACTAGAAATACCATTTGACCTAGCCATCCCATTACTGATTTATACTTTTCTATTGCACTTTCTTTATTTTGCTGCTCACTTTCACTTTTTCAAATGCTGATAATTTTTTACAACTTAATATATGTTTAATTTGGTAACTTTTCTGAATAATTTTAGAATGTGTGTATAGCCTCTTTTTGTATGTTTGGTGCGATCTCAGCTCCCTGCAACCGCTGCCTCCTGAGTTCAAGTGATTCTCCTGCCTCAGCCTCCTGAGTAGCTGGAATTGCAGGTTCCGGCTACCACGCCAAGCTAATTTTTGTGTTTTTAGTAGAGATAGGGTTTCACTATACTGGCCAGGCTGATCTCGAGCTCCTGACTTCAAGTGATCTGCCCTCCTCAGCCTCCCAAAGTGCTACTTTTACAGGTATGAACCACCACGCCCAGCCAGGTTTGTTAATTGCACTGCCAAAATATTATCCTTTTTCTAATTGTGAATTTTTTTTGTTTATAAAACTTTAATTCTTTCCAGGTATTGCAACTTTTATTTTTTTCTTTACGTTTCTATAAATGTATGATTTCTATATCATTGTGGTGGTTTTTACTATCACCATTCTCTAGTAGTTTTCTTGACAAAAATTAATTATTATTTTTAGGTATTTATATTCATAAATGTGCTTTTTTGGTTACTTTTTACCAGAAATATATTTCTTCTTTTTCAGTTAAATTTTAAATCATTGTATTTTAGGTAAATTTATTTTAGATAGCATACTAATTGGCTTTGTTTGTTTATTGAATCAGAAAGATTCTATTTGGAAAATCCTATTCATTTGTATTTATTTAGTATTTTTATTATATTTTGATATACTGTTCTTCCTTGATTCTCTAAAAATATTTTTGTAAAATATTTATTCTCATTTCTCTGTATGTATGAGGGAGAGAAAGAGGGAGGGAGAGAGAGCAGAGAGATATCTATCATATGCATGTGTTGCTATTTGAATGATGGCTTAAATGAAAACAGAACTGGATATCTACATTTAATTCTGCACATGCAAGTCCATATCTATTCTTTACCACCGTGTAGATAAATAATTCTTTAATATGTCTTTGTTTCCACCTCCTTGTTAGTAAAGGCTGTTTTTACCTTTTAAGGTTAATAACATTTTGACTTTAAAATGCTATTTCTTTTTAATATTTTTATTTTTTACTTTTTTAAAAAAACGTTATTTTAGGTTTGGGGGTACACATGAAGGTGTGTTACATAGGTAAACACGTGTCACAGGAGTTTGTTGTACAGATTATGTCATCACCCAGGCATTAAGCCCAGTACCCAACAGTTATCTTTCCTGCTCCTCTCCCCTCTCCTGTCCTCCCCACTCAAGCAGATCCCAGTGCCTGTTGTTTCCTTCTTTGTGTTCATAAGTTCTTGTCATTTAGCTCCCACTTGTAAGTGAGAATAGGCAGTGTTTGGTTTTCTGTTCCTCCGTTAGTTTGCTAAGGATAACTAAAACCAAATAATTTAAGAAGTCCTATTTTGATATTACATTCTTTTATTTTTAAATTTGATCTTTTTAAAGTCTCTGTAGACTTAGTTATTCTATAAACTCTATTTCTTACTTTTTTCTTCATTCCATCTCCTTAATAACAGGATTATAATATTATCATAATGATATATCTTTTTTTTTTTTTTTGAGACAAGGCCTTGGCTCTGTCACTCAGACTGGAGTGCAGCGGTGCAATCATGGTTCACTGCCACCTCCACCTCCCTGATTCAAATGATCCTCCCACCTCAGCCTCCCGAGTAGCTGGAACTACCAGCATGCACCACCACACCCGTCTAATTTTTGTATTTTTTGTAGAGAAGGGGTTTCACCAGGTTGCCCAGGTTGGTCTCGAAATCCTGGGGTCAAGCAACCCACCGGCCTTGGCTTCCCAAATTGCTGAGACTGCAGGCATGAGCCACCAGGCACATTCACGGTACATCTTTTGACTTCTAAGTAAGCTCACTGTTCATGGTGTATAATCTCTATTGCACTTTTATCAGAAATAAATTTCCACTTTAGTAACTTTTACTGTTTATAAATATCATCAACACACAACTATTCTTGATTTTCTCCCAATTTGTTTTCTGTATAGGATATTATTTTCATCTAAATTATCATACTTAGCTTTTTGTAATACTTAAAATTCATTGAGATAAATAATGTCTTACTAAAAAGTATAATTTGATAAGAATAACAACCTTAGTGATTTAAAAATATTTAGCAACTTCCAGTGAGACATTTTACTTTAGAGAATGGCAAGATTTCTGAAGATCTGAAAATGTGGATCTTCTTGTTTTATTCTTCAATTGATTTCTAAAGAGTATATATATATCTGGGCCTTTTTCAGTGTTTTCAGAACTAGTTTCATTTCAATATTATTGCATTTACAGTTTGGGGAACAACAGAGAGATAAAAAGAGAAAGAGATTCATTTTCTCACTATAAATTTTCTTTATGTTGCCATTCGTCCTAACTCAGTTTCATTGTCTTAATGAATCATTCAGAGTGACCTTGTGATTGAAAGCAGTTGCTTTTCTGATAACAAGGATGTATTTGTCAGAAAGTATATGGGGTTTAATGAACACATGTTCTGCCACTTTAAGTAATTTGTTGCTTTGGCAAATTTCTTAACCACTCTGTGTTATAGAACCTTGGAAATAAAATCCCTGATAAGGATGACATAAGATTATTGTGAAGACTACATAAAATAAGTTATGCAAAAATCCACTGAAAGATTATAATAATATAATTGTTACTTACTTATTTTCATTTCCACAGGGCAAAAAAAATTTTTTTCCGACTTGCATTTTACACATTAGAAAATTGTACTAACAAAATTAACCATTATCTCTACAAAAGTAACTATTCAAACCTTAGCTTAAACAACAGATTCATTTTATGTACAATTGCTTTTTCTTTTCATGTTAAACGCAACCGTATTTTTATATTACATACACTGCCTTGGATAGTCACTGTATCCTCTAAGGTTTAGCATAGAATAATGAGGAAAATACATTAAATATTTCATTATAAATGAGTTAATATTTTTTCTATAGTTCTATCCTAAATAAGAAATGTTTTACTATTATCATAAAGTTTTATTCTTAACAGTTAAATTGACTTTCTATCTTTATTCATGTTTATTTAAAAAACAGATTTTGTGAGAGATATTTTACACCTATGGGTCTATCTTTGATTGAATCATGACTTTTTATATCTACCTTTTTTCTTGATACACTTTCTACAAAAACACTACTCTTAAAATATTTGTCACTTTACAATCTCTATGTAATTATCTAGATTTATCCATGAGGGCTGCTCTTAGATGTCTTAATTAATTATTTCCTTAAAAAATAATTCGTTACTTGCTACATGTCAGCCCTTTGCAAGGTATTGAAATAAAAGAGACATGACTCATTATAAAAGACATTACAGTTTAATGCCTTTTAAACAACACTTTAAAGACATTAACGTGTAACATTAATGTAACACCTACCCTACCAATGGTAGTAGGGTAGATGTTACTTTTTGCAACAGAGGCTGCAATTTTTCAACAGAACAAACTACACAAAATATTAAAGGTGCCAGTAAATATTTTATATATATATATCTATACTCACATATGTATATATTATATACATACATATTATATTATATATGTATTTATCTGTGTGTGTGTGAGTGTGTGTGTGTGCATGTGTTAGTTGGGTTGCAAAATGTGGATCAGCATAGCCTTTATGGAGAGTTGAAATTAGACAGATTCCCGGACAATAATAAGGTATCATTTAGATGGATGATAGGTGAAAATTCATTGTAGGTAAATAAACCAAGGGGAGCAAAGGCAGTGTGGTATTAAAGGGTCGTTCATATTTAATACAATGGAGAAGTGAGTGAATTATTTACGATAGACAATGCGCAGATAAGTGCTTGGCAGGAGCTGCATTTAAAGGACCACCAATGGACAGACCCTCTGCAAACCATATAGGATCCCGTTGACTCTAACATATCTTTTCAAATTTTGTCAGGTAGACTGATGTGCTAGTTTTAAAGCAATTGGTTCCCAGCTCCAACACCATGCTTCTGTAACCTGCTTTGGTAAACTGACACAGGGAATCTGCAAACCACATTGTTTCTTTTCATGCTGAATTTATGTAAGTATACGCCAACAGTAAGTAGCAGACTGAGACTGTAAGACTGGAAAAGGAAGACGGGATTTACACTTCCAATGTACTTCCTGTAGGTTCCTTGTAGGCTTCCTCATTCTGTGGGCAGCTGCCCAGCAATGTTTGTTCAGCTTGGCAGCACTCCATCATTTTAACAGTTGCTGAATCAAGTCTTCAGTTTTTCCAGCGTTTGCACAACCAGTGTCACGGTGCCCCACCTCAAATGTATCTGGACCACCCAGAAGGTATCACAACTCAGAGGTCTCAATGTCAGCTACATGGGGATGAGATGGGATTGAGGGGCTTCTTCTCAGCTGAGAGACACTAGTATAAACCAGCATCACCTCTGGGCCAGAGGTCTTAATTTTAGCTTCCGTGGCCCCTTCTAGAAGTTTCTAAATTTGAATTATTGTAACCACTTCCATTTATTCCCTCAGAACAAGGGTCAGTAGTTGTATCTTGCAGTTGATACTTCCATGGTATCTTAGAGTTCTCTTTGTACCTTTAAAATATCTAGATAATAACCTTATAAATAGTTAACAATTTTTTATATTAAATTTTATTTTTCTAGTTTGAAAAGACTACTATGGTTTCTGTTTCTGACTTGTGCTGACTCGAATAACCAATGTTTCTCAAAAGTAGGAAATTGTACTTTTAAAATACTTGTTGAATGTAAAGCTCGCAAAGCTCTTTCTTGGAGATTTTAATTCTATACTTCTGGGTCTTTAAATATGTGTATTTTTAAGAGAAAACCATATGATTCTGATGATTAATCAACTTTTGGAAGTGCTCCTATAAACCCACAGGGAGCCA
Source organism: Homo sapiens (assembly GCF_000001405.40). Classification (NCBI taxonomy): domain Eukaryota; kingdom Metazoa; phylum Chordata; class Mammalia; order Primates; family Hominidae; genus Homo; species Homo sapiens. Next base: position 23,740,925 of record NC_000005.10, read on the forward strand.
TTTAAGCACTTTTTAAGTGAATAATTTTAGAAAGATATTTTAACAATCCATGACTATGTGAATTAATTTTGTTGGAGAAAGGCTAGAAGCATGGTATCCAGTTAGAAGATGTCATGTGAGAAATTTAAGTTGAATCACAGAATTTGGGTTTAGTGATTGGAGGAGCCATTCCCAAATATTAGACTTAAGGATTAAGATAATAGTTACACCAGCACTCTGGGAGGCCGAGGCGTGAGGATCATGAGGTCAAGAGATCGAGACCATCCTGGCCAACATGGTGAAACCCCATCTCTACAAAAAGTACAAAAATTAGCTGGGCGTGGTGGCGGGCACCTGTAGTCCCAGCTACGCAGGAGGCTGAGGCAGAAGAATCGCTTGAACCTGGGAGACGGAGATTACAGTGAGCCAAGATCATGCCACTACACTCCAGCCTGGCAACAGAGAGAGACTCTGTCTCAAAAAAAGAAAAATAGTTACAAACGAATTATTAGTAGTTCCATCAGTGTTTTGGGAAAATAATCTTCATATGTAGATGATAATATTTTCTTCATAGTCTCTCCACATAAATGACTGTGTTCTCATTAATGACAGATATCAGAGACTCTGCCTTTTGCTTTCCTAAAGATAAATACGTCTATATAGTAAACATTAAATACATATTCGCTGGATTAAAGAAAAAGGCTGTAAGGAAAAAAAATCCATATACCTCCACACACGTGCGCATACACACATATATATGCATATATAATTTTGTTTTAATGAATTGTCTCATATTTATAATTTGAATCTTTTAAACTAAATGTGAAATGTAAAAGTTTTATTATGCATCTATTAAATAATTCATGCATCATTGATTTTGTCTAGCCACGGACAGATTATATAATCAAAATTAGCAAAGATTCTACTTAAATAAAGCACATGTTCATAATATTCTACCTGAGATCTAATTAGATTGTAAATATAATTCTAGCAGGTACTCATTCTGAGTTTTTGTGGGCTTCCACAAACTTACCATCTGAGCCTACCCATTAAAATTTTTCTTTAACTTAACTGTGTTAACATCATTCCTAATTTATTCTCTTGAGCCAAAAGAGTCCCCTACTGCTTGTCTGTTTTAGTGTTTAATTGCTTCACAGACTCCCAGATTGAATTCTGTAGCAATTTGCTCTCCTGGTAAAACAGTGAGTTTTTCAGCATGATTTAAACAAAAGTGGAAATCATGACATGAAGAGAACTCTATGTTAGTAAGTCAGAAAGCAAGGGTTTCTGAAATTCTCTATCCTTTCACTTGATTGGACAGTAATGGCGAATTATTTAATATAATAGATTTTTTCAACATGTTTAGTATTATTTCAAGAAAGATGTTAAGTCTCTACATTTAAGCCACACCCAGTTCAGCATTTCTAAGACTGTACTTAAAGGCCTTCCTAAGATAGAGGTAACCACCTTGCGTTGTAAAAATAATTCCATCAGTGTTATAAAATTATTTGTAATGATTTCAACCTACTCCTCTTTTAATAGCTTTTTCTAAAATACAAACAAACTAACAAAGATGCATTCCACTATGGTCAACTTCTATAAGTATCTATGGAGTACTGTAAGATCTAAGTTTTGAGTATCTGTATGTCAGCAAATTAAATAACTAATTGATAAATGATCTTTCAAAATAAAATGGCACAAATTTTGTATATAATATAAAGTCTCTGAATTTTAAGGGCCATCAAATAACAATTTTACATTGGGATGATGCTCAATTGAAAACAGTAGTGCCACAGTCAACATTCTAAATTGCTGCATATTCTGAGTCAGTATCCAACCTTAATAGGACAGTGACATTCTAAATTGATACCTTATAATTACAACTAATTAGAAGTAAAATTAATTTTACTAGCCTAAAGTCATAGTTGCCAATCAAGGTTTCAAGAGTAACTGCTAACATTGAGATGGACTGTCATAATCTCTGCAAGTCAAGGTCTGCCATCTGCTGTACCAAGAGCAAACTAACTTGAAATTTGATTAAAATGAAGTGAGTCTCACTGAAAGATTTTACATTAAACCTTCCCACATAAAAATACAAATGCAATTTTAATCAGTAAAACTCCCCATGGAAAGTATATGTGGACTAAATTTGTAAATATTGTACAGATAATTTTATAAACAAATACCTAATCATTAAACTCTTGCCCTTTCTAGTTCAATTTATTTTACTTCAGATTATAGGTTTTTATGATATTTCAGAAACTTTAGGAACTCTTACTTTCATAAAAAATTAGATTGATTTGTGGGCCTATTAGTGCTCTATTAACTAGAAAGTACTATGATGGTGAACATGTTTTATATCTGCACTGTCATCTACCATATGTGGCTGATAAGAACTTGGAATATGGCTAGTGTGATGGGAAAAAGTAAAAGTTTAATTTAATCTAATTTTAAGCAATTTAAGTTTAAAAAAATCTCACGTGGATCATAGACACTGTCTATAGGACAGCACAGCCATTTAGCATTGTTGAACCTATAGCGTTGTTGGATGTATAGCATTGTTGGTTGAGTCTGTATTATTCTTTTGTTCTTCAGAAGCTACTAGAGAATATAGAATTGTTATTTCTCTTTTTTTTTTTCTTCGTTACAGGGTCTCACACTGTCACCCATGTTGAAGTGCGGTGGCAAAATCACAGCTCACTGCAGCCTCCATCTCCTGGACTTAAGGAATCTTCTCTCCTGAGTAGCTGGGACTACAGGTGTTTGCTATCATGTCTAGTCACTTTGTTTTTCAATTTTTTGTAGAGATGGGGTGTCTCTTTGTTGCCCAGGCTGGTCTTGAACTCTTGGGCTCAAATACTCATCCTGCCTTGGTCTCCCAAAGTGGCAGGAATACAAACATAAGCCAATGAGTCTGCCTATAAATGTTTTTTTCTACTAAATTACATACAGTAACATTTTGTGGTTTCTTTCATAGTGACTTCCAAAGTTTTATGAATGAAGATGTTTCTTTTAGTTAAAAAAAGAAGAAAATAAAGAAAGGAAGAGGCAAGGAAGGAAGGAAAAAGGAAGGAAGGAAGGTAGGAAGGAAGGAAAGAATGTGGAATAAAGCACACAAAATGAAGTATTTAGCTAAATCAAAAACTATTTTTAAAAGACTGTGTCTGTTATTCTACCTGATTAAAAAATACACATAATACATTTGTTGGTTCACTTTTATTATTCAATGCAAAATCTTTTAAACTGGCTGTTTGTGGTTTAAATACATTTCCCAAATTTCACGTATTGGAAACCTAATTTCCAAATTCATATGTTGATTGGAGGTGGAGCCTTTTGGATGTAATTAGCATTAGATAAGGTCATAAGGCTGGGGCCTCCATGATGGGACTAGCAACATTATTAAAAGAGAAAGAGATTTGAGCTGACATGCATGTGTTTTCTCTCTTGCCATGAAAAGATCTTCACCAGATGCTGGTGCCGTGGTTTTGGATTTTCCAGTCTCCAGAACTGTAAAACATAAATTTATTAGTTTTAATAAATTACTCAGTTTATGGTATTTTATCATAGCAACAGAAAAAAATACACTTTTTTAAATGAGAACATGAAAATAATTTGTTGAAAATTGGTAGATCAATAATTAAGTATGTTATCTAAGAGAAAATGGAACAAAGGTTTAAAGTATGTGTGTGTGTGTTTGCATTTTCTGACCCTATTTTTGAGACTTCTTTTATTCTAATTGTGTAGAATTTATGTGTGACATTTGTATTTCAAAATTTCTATGAAGCAAATTGGACATCTAACAGTGTTTGAAAATAACTATTTTAATACTTTGCCAAAATAGGCATTCCAATTCTGCTAAATTTGCAAAATGACTTATATTTAGAATCTATTTTGCCTTTAACTTTACCAAGAAAATAGTACTAGCCATATAAGAAACAGTAAGATTATAGCCTCTGTATTTTAATATGTTTTTAGAATATTATCTTCTTATTTACTACTATTAATTTGTGAAAGAAAGAACTTCTGTACATTTGGAAGAAGAATTAACACAAGTCTTTGGTGCCTCATACTTTAGGTTAATCTTAAAAGGTCATGCCAAGTCCTTCTTATGGTTATTTTAGGTTAAAAAATTGCAAACTTTCAAATAGGTATAAACAAAAGACAATGAGTGGAAATGTCCATGAACTCATTTTATTCAGAGATGCAAATTTATCAGCCATATCCTCCATTATCTCTGTTTCTGTGTTAGTCTCAGTCTTTCCTATTGAAAATAACCTTTTTACTTCGACATATTTTACTTTATTAAAAAAGGCAGCCCTTGACCCTGAGTTCGAACACATAGCAATCTCAAAAGATAATTGTAATTGACATACTGTATTATCATGTGTGTTCATATGATCTCTAAGCATGATCTGACTAGGTGTTCTTACTCTTTTCTTTAGCTATGAAATACACATTCTTTGGCCAAAACTGAGAAAGTCTCACTATAATGTTCTCTTACACTGTATATTTATGTAGTTGTTTTCTTATTACTTTCTGTTTTTCTTACTTTATTATTATAAACTTCATATGTAGAACCACATTTTTTATATCTAGTGTATAATAATCAAAAGGCCAGGAAGCAATAAATATTTATTGAATAAGAAATAATGAATAACTGTCTCTCAAGGAATTCAATGAAGAATTTCAATAGATCCCAAGAGCAAAATGTCACTAATGTTAATCAAGACATGTTTATCAATTCTGCTTACCTTTAAAGAAAAATATAATAATAAGGAATATTGTCTTTGGTTTAATGACTAAGCACTAGTGTTATTGCAGAAGTGATTTGTTATTTATTAATATATAAATTTAGAGTGATAACTAGGAATAGGGAACTATTATAATTTTTGTATGATAACTATAAAGAAGCATACTTGGGTGTAACTACTTTTATCAGATACCAGGACTTCTATTTAATCTAGTTTACTCAACAGAAATAGTGATCAAACTTAATACTACTTTACAATAATAATCATTTTGTCAAATAATATATAAAAACTTATTGTTCCATATGTTATTGAATCCCTAATCAAGAATAAAATTGCTTGATGTCTTAAAGCAAAAAGGGAGCTCAAATAAGGTTGATAAATAGGCACTGATACCAAGTAAATCTGGATATCAGAGGCAGATAAGGATATTTTTCCTAATCTGGCCAAAATTTCACTGGGCAAAAAGGACTGGAAAACTCTATTCCTTACCAGCATGGGAGGTAGATTCAAATGCAAACTATGCATATTTGGGAAGCACACAGCAAATACACTCATATAAAAAGTAGATCAACCAGTCACAGTGGTTTACACCTGTAATCTCAGCACTTTCGGAGGCCGAGGCGGGTGGATCACTTGAGGTCAGGAGTTCGAGACCAGCCTGGCCAACATGGTGAAACCCTGTCTCCAATAAAAATACAAAAAAATTAACTTGGTGTGGTGGTGTGCGCCTGTAGCCTCAGCTACTCCAGAGGCTGAGGCAGGAGAATCGCTTGACCCTGAGAGGCAGAGGTTGCAGAGCCGAGATCATGCCACTGCACTCCAGCCTGGGCAACAGAGCGAGACTGTCTCAAAAAAAAAATCATAACTGCTTAAAAAGTAGAGCCTTTATAACAGGCAAACCCCAGAAGAGATGTATATACTTTCACAAGACACAAATTCTGGAGAATATTAGCTCTTAAAAAGTTCATTAAAAAATACACTGGTATGAGAAAGTGTCAACAAAGAAATAAGATGGACCATTTAAAGTGCAATGACTATAAAAAATAGAGCATTCTGAAAAACTTAAATATATTTATGTTTTAAGTGTTAACATAGGGAATGCTGGCACTGTCTAGGATAGAATGTTCCTAATTATAGTAGCTTACCCATTGAAGGCTGAAATAAAACATGCAAGGATGTGTGTGTTTGTGTGTGTGTGTGTATGTGTGTAAAGGCTTTAGAAAGCTGATGAGACCTGAGGTACTCAATCTCCAAGAGAAGAAAACTGAGCACCCTGAGGACAGTTAGGGAACAGGGCTGTTGAATCATAGCAGACAGCAACAGGGCCTCTAGTGTGCAAACAGAATTGGAGTTCAGATCCTCCAAAGTGGCTGTGATCTGAAAGACAAAACTGACATCAAAGAATCCTCACAGAAGCGAGCGGAAATATTTTTATATACTTTTACAAATCCTTTGCAAAATTCAAAACTTTGCATACAGAAGTCAAGACAAAGTAAGATGCTCAGAAGGCTGTAATCCCTGGAAGGCTAGAGAATTAAGCAGTATCAGAGATGTAAGATGCTAGCAAGAACAAAGTTGATTTTAATCTGAACACAGTAGCACTGAAACGGGCAAACCACTCAGAATTTCAGCTAATAATCCCAAAGGGTCATATCCTGTGGCTAAGGGAAAAATAAAAGCAACCTTACAGATCTCTAAAATGAACTCTCTAATCCTCAATAATATTAAATTGCTAACACCGTATTTGCTGGGAGGGGAAGGACAACAGCCATAACCTTAACCTTCTCAATAAGAAGATTTTATCCTCTAGAGTTTCTCTGCATTCTAAAACACAAAAACAAAAAGAAAACAAACGGATAAAAAATTATATGCTAAAATACGAAATCAAACCTGGGCTGGGGGAATAGAAAAGGTCTATCAGGAAATGCAGATAAAGGCATTATGAGACATACCTTTAAAATATATCTTTTATATGTTGAGGAAAGAGAACTTTGGAGACTACAAAAGTAACTAAATGGAATTTCCATTTATTTCTAGGTATTTCATGGGTTTTGATACAATTTTTATGGGATTTTTTCACTTTATATTATCTTAGGTTTTTTATATGAATTTCATATAACCTCAGATGTGTATTTTTTTATAGGATATAAAATTGACTTGTATATTGAACTACATCTTGTAACCTTGGTATATTTGATTATCAATCCAATCAATCCATATTCTTTTGGGCTTTCTATGAGAACAAAAGAAACTTCCAGGGTGTGGATATTTTCTGTGTGTGTGTGTAAGTAAGTATGTAAATGTGTGCTGGTTATGGTAGTTTAAATGCAAATGTCATGCACATTGTTATGAAGGTGTATTCATCAAGTAACTTTTTTTAATTATTTAAAAACTACTTCATATAAAGTAAAAACAAGGTATATATGATTAAGTCTCCTTAAGTAAATTATAGACATTCAAAAAGATGAACACATAAAAGCAAAGTCTATGAATATTTTTGGTTAATAATGATGTGTCAATAGAAGAAAAACATGGCAAGCATAAATATAATAAACATATAACAGAAACATTGTGCCCAAATTGCAGAACCTGAATGACAAATCATAAAAATTACCAGGTAGAAGGTCAAAATTAACCACAAAGAAACAACATTAGGGTGATAACACATGTTTATAAGTAAAAGTAACAGCTGAAGGACCTGAATTAATATATTCAAAGTATTTTGATAGGTATATATCCACTTAGGCTTTTATATAAATTAAAACTTTCACTCAAGAGTGAAAATTAAACATTCTCGGGCATATAAACTGTAATTTTTTTTACAGTATAAATCTTAATTGGAATTTCAAAAGGTTGTAAAAGCAATAGAAGAAAAGAATGTGAAGCAAGAAACATAACAGAAGCATGTTTTAATCAAACATATAGGTCTTTGAAATTAAATATTTACATGTAAAACAATAACCACTTTTTGTGGTAAATTAGAAACAAGTAACTTTTTTGTAATAGTCCATATTGGCTTCTATAACAAAATACCTCAAATGTGGTAGCTTATAAATAACATACAGTTATTTCTCCCATTTCTAAAGGCTGGGAAATCGAAACTGACGGCACCAGATTTGGTGTCTCAGAGATGCCCAGTTTATTGGTATAAACCAAGGTGTCTATAAAGACACATTTCTTACTGTTACTTCACATGGTAGAAGAGCCAGAGGGTCTTTCTTGGTCCCATTTATGAGGGCCGCATCCCCATGACTTAATTGCCTCCTGAAGACCCCACCTCCTACCATTTGCATGGGAGTTAGGGTTTCAGCAAAGTAATTTTGGGGAAACACAAACACACAAACATTCAGACTATAGCATGCCACCCCTGTCCCGCAATTTATGTTCTTCTCACATGAAACACACCATTCCATGCCAGCATTAACCCAAAAGTCTAAGTACAAAGTCTCATTTGAGACAAGGCAAGTCTCTTCCACCTAGGATCCCATAAAACCATAAATAAGTTAGTTACTTCCTAGATACAATGGGGGTACAGACATTGGGTAAATACACCCATTCCAAGTGGGAGAAATTGGCCAAAATGAAGGGGTAACGAAAGTCCGAAATTCAGCAAAGCAGTCAAATCTTAAAGCTCCAAAATGATCTCATTTGACTTCATGTCTCACATCCGGGGCATGTAATGCAAGAGGTGGGCTTTCATGGTCTTGGGCAGATCCTCCCCTGTGGCCTTGCATGATACATTCCCCCTGCCGGCTGCCTTCATGGGCCTGCAGCTTTTCCAGGCACCCAGTGCAACCTGTCAGTGGATCTACTATTCTGGGGTCTGGAGGACAGTGGCCCTGTTCTCACAGCTCTACTAGGCAGTGACCCAGTGGGGGCTCTGACCCCACATTTCCTATCCTTACTTCCCTAGCAGAGGTTATCCATGAGAGTTCCACCCCTGTAGCAAACTTCTTCCTAGACATCCAGGCATTTTCATACCTCCTCTGAAGTCTAGGTGGAGATTCCCAAACCTCAATTCTTGACTTCTGTGCACCTGCAGGCCCAACATTGTGTGTAAGCTACCAAGGCTTGAGGCTTGCAACCTCTGAAGCAGCAGTCTATGCTGTATATTGGGACCTTTTAGCCATGGCTGTGACACAGTGCAGCAAGTCCCATGACTGCATAAAGCACCAAGGCCCTGGGCCTGAGTTTTTCCTCGTAGGTCTGGGCCTGTGATAGGACAGGCTGCCCTGAAGACTTCTGACAGGCCCTGGAGACATTTCCCCATTGTCTCGGCAATTAACATTTGGCTCTTTGTTATTTATACAAATTTCTACAGATGGTTTGAATTTCTCCTCAGAATTTTTTTCCTTTTCTGTTGCATCATCAGGCTGTACATTTTCTAAGCTTTTATGCTCTGCTGTCCTTTTTAACATAAGTTCCAATTCCAAAGCATTTCTTCGTGAATGCATAAAACTGAATGCTTTTAAGAGCACCAAAGTCACCTCTTGAAAACTTTGATGCTTAGAAATTTCTTCCACCATACACTCTAAATCATCTCTCTCAAGTTCAAAGTTCTACAGATCTCTAGGGTAGGGGGAAAATTGCTGCCAGTCTCTTTGCTAAACCATAGTTAAGAGTCACCTTTATTCCAGTTCCCAAAAAGTTCTTCATCACCATCTAAGACCACCACAGCCTGGACTCCATTGTCCATATCACTATCAGCATTTTAGTCACCACAATACAGCAGTCATTAAACCTTAAATTTCTCAAGTGATCTCCTTTGACTCCATGTCTCACATTCAGGACACACTGTTGCAAAGGGTGGACCCCAGCAACATTGGGTAGCTCTGGCCATGTGGCTTTGCAGGATACAGCACCCAACCCATTTGCTTTCATGGACTGGTGTTGAGTGTCTGTGGCTTTTCCAGGACCACATTGCAAGCTGTCAGTAGATCTACCATTCTGGGCTCCACTTCACAATGCCCCAGTGGGGACTCTCTGTGAGGGCTCCATCCCTGCAGCAACCTTTGCCTGTATATCCAAGTGTTTCCATACATCCTCTAAAACCTAGGTGGAGGTTCCCAAAATCAATTCTTGACTTCTGTGCATCCACAGGCTCCACACCACATGGAAGCCTCCAAAGTTTGGGCTTGCACCCTCTGAATCAATGGCCTAAGGTGTAACTTGGCCCCTTTTAGCCACAGCTGGAGATGAAACAGCATGGACACAGGACACTGTCCTGAGGCTGCACAGAGCAGTGGGGTGCCCTGAGTCCATCCCAAGAAATCATTTTTCCCTCCTAGGCCTGCAGGCCTGTGATAGGAGGGGTTGCCTTAAAGGTCTCTGACATGCCTTGTTGACATTTATCCCATTGTCCCATTGTCTTGGTGATAAACATTCAGCTCCTGATTACTTATGCAAATTTATGGAGATGGCTTGAATTTATTCTCTAAAATGGGTTTTTCCTTTTCTATTGCATTACCAGGCTGCAAATTTTCCAAATTTTTATGCTCTCCTTCCATTCAAATGCTTTGCTGCTTAGAAATTTCTTCTGCTGAATATCCTAAACCATCTCTCACAAGTTCAAATTTACACAGACTCCTAGGACAGAGGCAAAATGCCATCAGTCTTTCTGTTAAAGCAAAGCAAGAATAACCTTGAGTCCAGTTCCCAGCAAGTTCTTTATCTTCATCTGAGATTGCCTCACCCTGGACTTCACTGTCTGTATCATTATCAACACAATTGTAAGTTTCCTGAGACCTTCCCTGCCATACAAAACTATGAGTCAATTAAACCTCTTTTCTTTATCAATTACCCAGTCTTCAGTGTTTCTTCATAGAAGCATGAAAACAAAATAATACACCTTTCATTTAGTTTTAAAACTAGAGAAGCAAGTGCTAGTTATAATTTTTTTCTTCTGGTGTACAAATTAATAAAGGATGTTACATTTTTCTTTTAAGTGCACAAATTTTCTGTGATATAACAATCTGCTCCATTGGATGCCTTTGTAAGGTCAATACATAGTATAGTAGCAGGTTCATTTGTAAAAACTGGAAATAGAAAAATTAATTCTACAAATTACATGTAAAAATTAAAGTATATAGGGCTAATTCAAAAATATATCCTTAAATACAAAAATGAGACACAAGAAATAAGAAAACAAGTTAAATAAGAATTTAACATATGAAATTAAAAAGATAAAATTCCAAGATGCTAAAAAAATGCCATGTTAATGCAAGAGGAAAAATGAATGTATGAATCATAGCCAATATATAATTGAGAGGATAAACAACAGAAGGATCATAAACTCCCCTAAAAATCATACTCTATGAATGAATGGTAAGTTGTTATAGAAATAATATGTTACATATAGTGACTCTAGAAAAATTGAAAACCAGAATTTAATGTAAATATCAAAAATATAAAAACCATTAAACAGAAACACACACACATACAAATCAACCTGCACTATACTATACTGTGCATGCATATACAAATCACCCTGCTACTATACTATGTATTGACCTTACAAAGACATGCAATGGAGCAGATTGTTATCATGGAAAATTTTTACACTTAAAAGAAAAATGCAAGAAAAGAAGTTTCTATAAAGATTCATACCATGTCATCTGATTCTCGTGAAGTCTAAGAGCTATAAAAAGACAGTGTTAACATCTCATTTAAAGTAGAGGAAGTGTAAGATCTCACTTATAAATATATTTGCAAAAATGCTAGAGATGACTTGAGGTATAAATTCCTCAGTTATTATAAAATCATCACAAAATAGATATATTCCAAGAATGAAGAAGTAGCCAATCCCTGATATTCTATAAATAAAATTCATCATATTAAAAGATAATTTTAATCATAAAATATTCTCTCAGTCTATGCCTAGGAATGTTTGCTTATGCACTGGACTTACATATGAAAATTTGTGAAAATAATTAGAGGCCCATGAAAATCACATCTTCTTCCAGAAGGGAAAGAAGGTCAAAATGAAATTTTTTCCTTATAAGTATAATGCTAGTGGATTGCTAAATAATTACTTAGATTTGGGCTTGGTACTTTTTAAAAATTTTAATAACATACGCATTGTTCACTGAGGGCTATTAAATTATTTTTATTCTGATTAGAAATTTAGAAGGCAGTTGCACTTTCTTAGAAGTCATGTGTTGTAGAATTGAATCGAGGTCCACAGAGGACAAAAAAATCTAATTTTCTGGGTTTTGGAACCTATAATTTACTTTTATCTAAGCAATTTGACCTTTGAAATGCTGATGATCTGTGTCTGTTTATATATACTTATTATTATTTGCTTTTTATTTTTATCATATATATTTAAGGTGTAAAACTTGATGTTTTCATATACATATATATGGAAAAATGATTATTATAGTCAAATAAATTAACCCATTCATCACCTTTCATTGTTAATTTTGTGTATGTGTGTATGTGTGTGTTAAGAGCATCTAAAACTTAGTCTAGTAGCAATTTTTTCTATATAAAATTATTAACTATAGCCCTTATACAGAAAAATGATATTGTTAGACTTATTTATTCTATATAATTATAATTTTTACCCTTTGACCTATTTCTTCCATTTCTTTCCCCTTTCTGCTTATGGCAAACACTGTCCCATTTTCAGATTATGTGTTTGCCTTTTTTATATTTTAGATTCCACATATAAGTGAGATTATGCAGTATTTTTATTTCTGCATCTATCTCATTTTACCCAGCATAATGTCTTCCAGGCTCATCCATGTTATCACAAATAGAAGTATCTCCTCTTTTAGAATTGAATAATGTTCCATTATATATGTATATACAATATATTATTATATATCTACTGTTATAAATAATGTTAGAATATCATGGGATATATTGGGCATATATGAGGATATATAAAGGATTATCTTATTATATATTCGTAATATATATAATATGAGATCACATATACATATAAAAGTTTACCCATTCATATGTTGATGGACACAGGTTGTTTCAATATCTTCTGAATAATGCTAGAATGACATGGGAATCCAGATATCTCTAGAAGGTGCTTATTATATTTATTTTGGGTATATATCCAATAAAGGAATTGCTGGGTTATATAGCAGTTCTACTTTATTTTTTATTTTATTATTATTATTATTATTATTATACTTTAAGTTTTAGGGTACATGTGCACAACACGTATGTTTATTGCGGCACTATTCACAATAGCAAAGACTTGGAACCAACCCAAATGTCCAACAATGATAGACTGGATTAAGAAAATGTAGCAGTTCTACTTTTAACTTTTTTGAGAAAATTTCAGACTGTATTCTAGAGTGGGTATATCAATTTACATTCACACCTTCTATAATAAATTCCTAGAAAGTACAATCTACCAAGACTGAATCAAAAAGAAATAGAATGCCTGAACACATCAGTAACAAACAAAAAGATTGAGCAGTAAACACAAATCTCTCCTCCAAAAAAAGCCCAGGACCAGATGGCTTCAAGGCTGAATTCTAGAAGACATTCAAAGAAAATTTAATACCATTCCTTGTAAATTCTTCCAAAAAATAGAAGTAGAGAGACTACTTTGAAACTGATTTTATGGGGCCTGCATCTCTCTGATACCAAAGCCAGACAAATACGTCATCTGTAATTTAAATTTAAATTAAATTTGGATAACATTTGATGTTAAGAAAATCAATGTAAGAAAAGACTTAAATGGTGATAGTACACTACCATAACTTTTTATTTTTTTCTGAAAAGGACAACTGAAAGAAAATCACTGGATTGAAGATTTACTTTTTAGCAAATTAGACTTTAAGGTAATGTAGAGAAAATATTACAAATGATTTAGTCGGCCCTTTTAAAAGGCAAGAAATTTTAAAGTAATATATCTAGGAAAAGCAGTGCAAAATAATAAAACAAGAAGGATCTGATATAACATGTAAACATTTTAAAAAATACTTAGAATCTCTTGAATTTAAAACAAAAATATCTAGACAGTATTAAGCTACATCACATTACGTAGTATGTATCATTTGAATGGATGTTTTCATCAATTTTGTGGACTTTAATGAAACAATAAAGTTGCTTTTTTACATTTATGGCACCAGCCATCCATGGTTTTATACTCACTATCCTGGCCAATGCCACTTGCATACTTATGAGTGAGACAAAACTAAATTTTGCACCTTCATTTTACCTAATCTGAAGCCCTTGGAAAGATAGTCACTTCTGGAACTACTAAACAAGGTTAGATTCAAAGTTTGTATTACAAGTTTTGTTCTCATAATTATAATACATGCACAAATCAGGTAATAAACAAAAAAAGACAAGTATTTGTTATGTGAGTACAGCACACCTGACATGGAGAAGAATCAGATTTGAATAATAAATGCAAGTATGGATTTCTGCCAAACTCACTGTGAGGTAAATTTAATTTCACTCTAGAGGTCTTAATGACACTAAAAATGTGTCATTAAGATCTGTGTTACCTTGGTCTATTCATTTTGAAGTTTCAATTTTTCTCAATTGTGTAAACCAAGGGGATATTTTAAAATTCCTCTAACAAGGTTTCTAACATTAAATATCTGTGTTGCTCCATATACAATAAATAATATAGAGAATGTAGAAAAAACTTATCGTTGCAATAAAATAGTTGAAAATGAAAAGTAGTAAACCTCTATTGATAGCTTATATTCAAATTTTAGGCTTTAGTTAAAATATGAAGGAATATTCAGATGACCTATATTCTCCATATCAGCAAAGTTATCTTACTCAAATAAAATGAGCTATTTTATAAATTATCTTACCATCCCTAGATTTTGTGACATTAATTTTCCAGTGTATAACAGAGTGTAAGACTGTTGTAGCTAGAACTTTGATTATCCCTACCAGATAGTAAGAAACCTCTCTCCTCAGGTCAGGGGGACAGCATGGAAAACTTATACTGCATCTGGTGGTAATGAAGCAATGCTTCTTGCTTTGTAGTGTCAGAGGAAGCTGAATGGAATACCAAGACTTTGACCATGCTCTGTAGTAGCAGTAAACAGGCATCTTCCTATCTCTAACCAATTTGGTATCCGTGGAGAATTAGTAAGGAGGCTGAACTCATCTGTACCCAGTGATATAAAGGAGCGTCTCCCTCATCCATGTCAATGAAGGCTGAGGGGGGGACTCAAACCTTCACCTGAGAGTAAAGAGACAGCATCTCTTTTCACCAAATAAGATACAGTTTGTTATAACATAATGTAAAACAATTCAGTTTTGTTACAAATTACTTACTATAGCTGGAGGCTAGAAAATATGAAATTGAATGAGAGAAGATGGTCAATAGATGACCACACTGAGATGCCCCAGATGTTAGAATCATCTAACAAGAATTTTAAAATAGCCATCATGAAAATGTTTTAATAAGCAATTCTGAACATCTTTGAGGTAAATGAAATGCTATGAAGAATCAGAAAAATGTGGACTCAGCACAAAGGAATATATAAACAAGAATCAAATAAAAAAATTTAGAACTAAAATATCCAATAACCTGAAGAAAAATCATAACAGACTCAACAGCAGAATTGAAAGGATTGAGTAAAGAATTGAAAATAGAAAATAGAAATGACCTAATCTCAACAACACAGAGAAATGAATTGAAAAAGAAAATGAGCAGCGACACAGAGACATGTGGGAATATAACAATGGTTCTAAATTTTGTGATAATTAAATCCTGGGTGTGTATTTGTTATCAGGCTACAAGATGCAGCACAGATGTAAAATAGTGCTTATGCATCAAGAGCAGAATGACCTAAAATTTTGTTATGGATCTTTTACCTTTTAGTGTTATGCTTGAGAAATGGCTAATATCATTTTTTTAGCTTATTAAAACGTGGTTGTCCATGTCTGTTTCGGTTCTATCAGTTTGAAAAAATTCAAGACCACTTACTAAATATAAGAAGAAAATACAAAATGTAACTAGAGATAGAAATTTCTAGAGTAGATTACTTTAAGTGGAAATTGTTTTATACAAGCATTTGGTATTACTTGAGTAATGATTCTCAATGTTCTAAATATATATGGATGGTTATAAGGATATCCATCGATGAGAACCAATTCTGCCGTACTTTCATCAAACATAGGCACAGAATGTCCAAGAATGGAGTAAATACTGGCCTTAGGAAATGTCAGCTATCATGATTTGGTCTCAGCTCAGCAGTTACAGGTAGGTAACAGTCTTCTTGATTTTTTTTTTTTACTCTGTAGTAAGAGTGGCAAAGATTATCCTGGCATATAAATTATATGTTCTTTTTGTTGTAAAATTCCTAGATATTACGCAATATTTTCAGTTGTTGTAGTTCATTTTTTTTCCATGGGCTTTTGAACAAGCTTGCTAATTTTGTAATTAAAGTAATAAAATATCTAAATCATTGAAACTGCATGAAGAACACGACAGACAATGAAAGGGTGTTATCCAGACAGGAGTGCTGAAAACACACGAACAAAGATGCACCTTAGCTGTCTCAAATTCAACACAAATTTGAAAATACGTTATCTTTCAGCTGGGCACGTTGGCTCACGCCTGTAATCCCAGCACTTCGGGAGGCCAAGGCAGGCGGAAGACACATGCATGCATATGTTCATTGCAGCACTATTGGGAGCTTGAGACCAGCTTGACAAACATGGAGAAACTCCGTCTCTACTAAAAATACAAAATTAGCCCGGCGTGGTGGCGCGTGCCTGTAATCCCAGCTACTCGGGAGGCTGAGGCAGGAGAATCGCTTGAATCCAGGAGGCGGAGGTTGCAGTGAGCCACGATTGCACCATTGCTCTCCAGCCTGGGCAAAAAGAGCGAAACGACGTCTCAAAAAAAAAAAAAAAAAAAAAAAAGAAAGAAAGAAAAGATGTTATCTTTCAATGATAACATTGTAAAGTATGTTTAATTCATTTCATACCTTTTCTATTTACTCAAATGAAATTTTAAGAAAATATCTATAACTGTTATGTATTTGCTACAAACATTTGAACCAAATGTAAAATTGCTGTAGCAATATTTTTATCACTTAACTTCCTTCCTAAGATACTGCTATGAAAATATTTATACTGTTCTGCTTTAATCAAATGTTTTGTGGACCTTTTAAACATTAGCATTTCAAATTACCGGATGTATGAAAATATAAGTGGATATCTTGGGTCTTGGTATGGAGGCCACAGAGTTACAAATTTTAAATTTATGAATACATTCATAATTGAAACTTTATGTATTAGATTTTAAAGAGCATTAATATATTTTCTAATTTTACCTAGGTCTCTAAAAATTTAATAATTTTTTTGTGGTTAAACATTTTTTAAAAGATTATCTTAGTATAATTTAAATTAGTCTTAAAATGATGCTAGTGATTCTCTATTTTAATTAAAATTATTGATCAAGTATATTTATAATGCAATAATGTTAACTCTACAGAGAAAATAATACTTATTTTTTAACTTGCATATAACAGTGATAGTAAAAATTCTATAAAATATTTCCAGTTTATGATGTTTCTAAAATCTAGTTAACTTGAACATTTTTTGGAGGAAATCATTTAATTGAACTAATTATATTTATAATGCTATGAGCTGTTCTGTTTAAATTATTTGTTATGTGTAAATTCTTTGGAAACTGAAGAAAAAACAAACCTATAAAATAAAATGTAATAAAGGCATTGTTTTTCAAGGCAGACAATTCTTAGAAACCTATCAAATGTTTCAGCTGGGTGCTTAATAAATTATGACAATTAACATTTTTTCAATGAATTTCCTTTTTTTGGAATTGCACATAATGTTATTTTCTGGGAAAGAACAAAATGAAAAATTAACTGACATATAAAAGAAAAATGTGGTCTGGGAACTTTTCCAAAAAGTTAAATTTTTCACTTATTCAATTTATAAATGTTTTCAAAAACTGAATCAATACTTTACTTTTTAAAATATTTAAATTTTATGAGTAAAATAATTTGTAAGACAAAAGGAAATGAAATTATGCTATTTTTAAAGGAATCAGTTTACAATGGATTCATAAAATCCCTTTCACTTAGAAGACCTTCATGTTTCTCTAACTTCATGAGTGATCTCAACACTGACTTTGGAAATCACCTTCGTTAAGTTTTCATTGATCCATAAAGATTTAATTTCTCCATATGTTGCAAATTCACTGCTAACTGAAGTGTAATCAGTAGTTTGCATTTTTCTGGTTACCATATTTCTTTGGGAGTGTTTCATTAATGTTTTAAAATAATTGAAAACTGTTTTTAAATTCATAATGTTTCCTTTCATTGTTTATTTTATGGTCAGCAACCCCTACTGTGACACACTATATTATGATTACGAACCTGGGAGGACACTTAAATTCAATAGCTTTGTAAAGCTTTATTTGCTCAAGTCAGATGAATTCCACTTTAATTTTTCTCTAACAACTATAATGACAGAAAATATTTTGTATGAGAATAATATCTCCTTGACATGCCTTTTTGCAATATTTAATGAGAAAATTAACATTATACTACTCGTAGAACAAATATTACTGTCATTGTATTTGTAATTTCCAATGGAGCACATGACTCTAGGTTCATATAAATAAAGAGCACCATATTGTAAAAATATTTTGGCAGTGATTACAGTACCTTTTTTAACCCCAAGGACAGTCACCCCAACAGATTTTTGCATATAATTTGAAGTGATAATAATGTATTTAATTTATACATCTCCTTTTATGGTTGTTTTATGTAACACTTGTTCTTTTTCTTATTGCAAAATACGTATTTCAGAATGTGTAACCTGAAGAACACAGACAACTAAAGAAAGCAATATAAACATTTACCTACAAAGTTATCTCTTAAGAATGAATTCTGTTAAAAATGTGGTTTATATCTTTCCAGGAAAAAAAAAATATTTCCTAAGCTTACCCAACCCAATATGCAAAATTCAAGAGTGTGTTACGGACCTTTCTTCAGCCAACATCCACAACATTCTTGTCAGGATTAAACACGGGACTCCAGATAAACAGCTATGTCGGAGATCTTATTTTGAAAAGTACACAATACCTACAGTTGCAGATAAACACAGCAGTTATTCAGGATTCAACATATCTTGGAAAGTTTTAGCAATCTAGTAAAATTTGCTGTGAAATAATAGCCTCTCCAACAAAGAGACATTATTATTGCATTTTGCATCTATTGTCGCCAAGGAGAACACACAACCCCTGGTAACTCTCTTTAGATTTTGGAGGCATTAACACTTTGAAATACAGCCCCAACACACTTAGCATGACCACCAGGCTTGAGTAGAACCTAGAGTAAGAACAGGTTCTGAAGCAAGTACAGGCTATTGTATAAGTCAAGCTTGTCCATCCCATGGCCCATGGACCACAAGCAGTCCAGGATGGTTTTGACTGAGACCCAACACAAATTCATAAACTTTGTCACATCATTATGAGTTTTTTTGCGATAATTTTAGCTCATCAGCTATCATTCGTGTTAGTGTATTTTATGTGTGGCTCAAGACAACTCTTCTTTCAATGTGGCCCAAGAAAGCCAAAAGACCGGACACCCTTGGGAATAATACTATCTGTTTTACTATGTAAGTAAGCCAACTCTATAGTTTTAAGATAATTCTGGTGGGAAAAAGTTTCATGAATTCAAGTGCTTTATATGTTAATCCTCATTAAAAGAAAAAAAGTAAAACTTAAGAGGTTTCTTTGAGGCCATGTTTCGGCAAAGAGAATTATAAACTATTCTCAAAATAACTTTTGTTGTGTCCCTGGACCCAATTATGATGGAATATTAGGTAATGCAGTGACATTGTGCATCTGTCAGACCGACTGCATGAAATAAGGCAGAATCATCAGAAGTCAGTTGCAATAAAGTATTAATATACCATAGATTAGACGTAAACCATGTACCATAGATTAGCCAGGGAATCAATAAAGTTGCATAGGCAAGTGGCTCAGTGTGTGAAATTTACCATATTTGACCACTGCCTCTTCCTCAGCACACATCTATGACTTGAAGACAGCTTCCTTATGACAAGCTGGTGGAAACTGAAAATCACATTTGGTTCATGTTCATGGGTGGGTCAACAGAAAAAGTTACTGCAAGATGAAAATATGTGACTGCAGTACAGCTATACTCAGGCATAGTCCTGAAAGGGCAGAGGACAAATTCTCCCAATAAGCAAGGTTTCAAGTAGTGTATCTATCGCTACACTTTATATTAAAAGAGATGAGACATAGAGTTAGAATATATAAGTCAGATGGGCAATTGCAAATGGCTTGGCTGTTTGGTCAGGACTGATAAAAGAGTGAAAAATTATTGCAAAGAATGTTTGGGAGACAGGGATATGAAGCGATCTGCAAAAGTGAGCATGAATTGTGGATTTATTTGTATCATATCTAAACATGCTTTAAAGAATGTTTACTATAGAAGAATCACAAAACAAGAAGTAGAACAGAATAACATGGTGAGTTAATGTCAGCTAATCCCTGTTATTGACTGCCTGAATATTTGAACCACAAGCTCATGGATGCTTTATGTATGGTGGCAAAAAAAAAATAGCTTATGGAGAGGCTCACTAGCTGAAGCTCCCAACTCACCAACACTGGGTTAGCTACAGAGAATCCAAATATCCAATCTGTCAGAAGTGAGACAAATCTGAGTCCAAAATCACTTGATGAGACCAACTGGTCACTTGGTGAAAAGTTTATTATATTAAATATCTTTCACTACGGAAGGACCATGATTTGTTTTTACTGTAAGTGGCACAGTTTTTGTGTAAGAGTTTAAATTTCCTGTCAAAAGAGCCTTAGGCAGCTTCAGTATCTGGAAACTTATCTAGTGTTTGATACACAGACACAAGATTTCACAACATAACTTTAGATCAAATAACTTATTTTAGAGCAAAGCAGTTTGCCAGCATGGATATACCATGACATTTGTTGTTCACATCATATATCACATCATCTAGAAGCTGCCAGTTAGAGAATGATGGAGTCATTTTTGAAGGGATAGTATGAGGCAATAGCTTGGGGACGATGCCCTCAGAAAATGGGGATCCATGTTTTAGGATACGGTGTAAATTAGTTTATGAGAGTTTGTGCGCAATAGTAGAATATGACATATCAGAAACCAAGGATGAATGTAGGAATAGTTGCACTTCCCATAACTCTAAATAACCCATTTGGGAATGTGGGCTTTCTTCCTCCACAAATCAATATTCTGTGTATCTAAAGGTGCTGGTTCCCAAAATAGAAATGCTTACTTCATGGGCCACAGGGAAGGTTCCCTTAAACTAACTCATGATTACTACCCTATTACTTTGTGTGTCTTGTACCAAAAGACCAGCTGGAAAGGAAAGAATTATCATCTGTTCTGGTTATCTATTGGTGTGTAATTCATTATCCTGCAACTTCATGGCATAAAACAAACATGAATTATGCTCATAGCTGCTGCAGGTCAGAAATTTGGACAGACCATATTTGGGGTGGCTTATTGCTCCTCCATGATGGTAGAATTCTCAGAAGAAAAACAGACTAGAGTCATTTGAAAGATTGTTCATTTTCACATTTGATGGTTGATGCTGCCTAAAAACTGGGATCCTTAGATCTTCTCGTGGATCTTGCCATGTGGCATCTTTGTGTGGAATAGTTAGAGCTTCCTCACAACATTGTGACAGATTTTCAAAGAGCCACCAGCATCCCACAAAGCAGAAAACTGAACAGTGGAAGTCACACATTATCGTTTTTATCATATATTCTTGGGTGAAGCTGTCATAAGCCTACAAGGTTTGAGAGGAGAAGTAGATTCTACTTTTTAAATGGAAATTGGCAAATTTCAGAAGAGAATGCAGGAATAGATACACAGTTTTGGTCATTTATTGGAAAGGAAAACTTTGGCATCATCCTGGGGTTTGGGGTCATGTAATTGAAGATCATCATCAGGAACTGCTAGAGCTGCTATTGTCCAATAGGAGCAGCAATGAATCCTTTTTTTTTTTTTCCAGGTGACCCACTGATGTTTTGCTTCAGAATCCTCCAAGTATACCTGAGAGTATATGGACAAATACAAAAGCAAGACCTGGGAAGTTATGTAATCAGGGACTTAGAGATCTCACAGAGGAAAATGTAGCCCTATCAGATAATCCATAGAGATTAGCAGAGGCGCTACACAAGGATGATAGGGATCTAGAATGTTTGGTAGAAAAGGAATATGATGAATATCAGTTGCGAACTTGAAATGGTTTGTCCCAGTCCCTTATTCATGTCTTCTGAAAAAGACAGAAGACTCTAAGGAAGTTTTCTAACTTAGCTATTCATGTGGTACAAAGTAGGTGGTTCTAAGTAGTGCAAGATATGAAATGCACTAGATTAGACTTCTCCAATCCATGGCCTGGAGGCTGCATGTAACCCAGGATGGCTTTGCATGGTGCCCAACACAAATTTGTAAACTTTCTTAAAACATTGGGAATTTTGTTTGCAATTTTTTTTTTTTAGCTCATCAGCTATCGTTAGTGTTAGTGTATTTTATTTATGGCCCAAACAGTTCTTTTTCTTCCAGTGTGGCCCAGGGAAGCCAAAAGATCCGACACCTCTGCACTAGATTTTAGTGGAATCTGTAGTGCTCTGTTCAGACCTCTTAAAAGACTATAACACTCATTCCTCCAGCTTCTGGAAATAAAGACTCTTAGCAGAGACTCTCTCTGGTAATTGCTTTCAAGTAAAGAGAGCCCTTCATTCAAGAGCTCAGGTCAACACTACAGACAGACCAGGTGCCATGATTGGATAATGTTTGAGGTACAAAACCCTTCCTAGCTTCCATCAAATTGGGAAGACACAGGCTGAGATCTACTGAATGGTGATGGCATTACTATTCAACTTTTCTCTACAATCAGCCCAGATTCTATGATATTTCCAAGATTGGGCAGTGCACTGCAGTATGTTCCTTGCATGTAAACCTCATAGTCTGTTTTTTCCAAGGAAGATTAACTCTAATCTATAACTTTGATCTATAACACCATACTCAAAAAATATTAGTTTATGTCAAATAACACAGCTCTATAAGAATAGTATTACAATATTCAATAAGAGCTAAAAAAGAAAATCTTTGTCAAAATTACATTAATAGAATGATCCCAGTAAAATAATATAAAATAAAATATAAATGAATTCGTTGAGGGGGCTGTGAGTGCATGTGTGTGGGGGGGCGGTGTGTGTAGGCAAACTCATGAAATATTTAAGCAGATTATATGTCAAAGTTTTTGTAGATTGTATGCCAATTATCTAGAAAGAAAGCAAGCCTAGAAAATTGTTTTAAAAAGAAACTTCCACTTACTAACAGTACTTAGCCTTTTAGATTTGTTTGATGTTAAAAATTATGACCATGTGCTTTTAGTTTTTAATGAAAGAAAGCAGAAAGAACCAAAAGTGTATACTTTTGAAGAAGTTATCTCTTCTTTTTCAGTAAAATGCTTTCATTTTTAAAATTGCATGGTCCATATGCAATTGTGCTTAATAAGATCTACTGAGACTATGAAGTAGAAAGCAAGATTATCCTTTTCTTCATAGAGAACACAGAGTTAATTAAGTCTTCTCTAGAGTGTCATTTAAAAATACTAATGCAAAGGTAGTAATTTAAATAAAGAAGTGGTTATTATAAAAATAATGTGTTATACATAAGCATTTAGGTTTTAATAATTATTATATAAACTACACTAAGATTTTCCAGAGTTTCTACAAGAATAATGTGATAGAGGAAAATTTAAGTTGTCATGAGACAAAAAAACGTTAATTTCAAACAAAAATCACAGCATCAAGTTATGAAGATTAATATAAAAATAACAAACCATTTTTAGCAATACTTTTGTATCAGTGTTTTGCAATTCAAAAGTTAACTTCATAAATACATACACACACAGGCACATATATACCTACACACATACACACATATCTCTTTATTTTTTATTTTTGGGGTTTGCATGCTCTTCCAGAACTACCAGTAAGTGAGAGTTAATTATACATAAGCTAATAAAATTTTATTCTCAAAGTAAACTGTTATTTATTAATAATAACCACTTTTATTACATAAGTGTGTGGTGCACTAATTTTACAGTACATGTCACAGTTAGAAAAATGACAGGTGGTATCATGATTTGTGCTGCACTTGAATAACCTACATAAGCACAGTAAGAAAACTCATTACACAACAACATATGTGGACACATCATTTAAGGGTGCCATATGCTTCTAAGACACATATAAAATAATTATCACAGCTAGCCCCAGATCTTATGTGTTTCATTGAGCTTTAACTAGGAGGCTTGGAGGCTTAATTATTCCATAATCACTCCATTCCTTTTATGTCCCTTCCATTTTGAGATACTTTGTTCTCATTATCACTGGTAATTTTATTTTCTACCAATAATCTTTTCTCTCTGTCCCTGGCCCTGAAGAAATGAAAAGAGGTGTTAGTTACTTATCTTTAAACTATAATTTCAATGTATTGTTCTCTTAGTTATTTTATTGGAAATTTTTATCTTTTTTAAATAAGTAAATAGAAGGACAAAGAGGAACCTGTAATTACAACATTCACTCTATTAAAATTTACCAAACACTCAAAGCATGGTTCACTATTAAATTCAGTCCAAGAATTTTAGTATTATCGTTACTTCCCAAACTCTGGTCTTTTAGAGCTGAGTTTCCCCAAACTACAGTATACAAATGCCTGTAAGTACCAGAAGACTTCCTTTAGGTTTCACATACAAAGAACTGCAAGCAAATCTATCGTCAGTGCAAAACCTGTTTTCTCTCCTAACATCACACATGCTGAGAATATGACTGCTCTCTGAAAAACAGATCAGATTCTATATTTCTACCACCCCATGTTGATGAACTTTTCCTACTCTTACAAAGACATGTCTCTAAGTTGTCCCAAATGTGATTTTTCTCCATCCCACTCCTATCTTGAGGTGTAAAAACCCTGGTACCAAATTTGTAAAAGTAAATAGTTGAGTAAAACTAACCTTTTTCATACTTAATGATTTGTAATGTTTCAATGTCAGAAAAGTAAAAGTTCTTTAAGTTTGTTGTCAGCTAACAGAAAATTAAATATAATTTTGATGATGATTCACTATTGATTTCTTGCTTTTAATTGAAACATGTTTCAAATAATTGAAATAATTGAATGTCATTGCATAACAAACCCCTTTTTATTTCCATTTATTTATTTAAATCCCAGCACCAACAGAACCAGAAATACACAGGAATTTAACAAACAGGTTTCTTGATTGCTTCAGCAGGACAGAGAGTGCTAAGGTAGTCATGGATTATCTCAAAAAATAAGTTAGAAAAGGTTTGTAAAGGATTTAGGAACTGGAGTTACTCACAACTTGATAGGGATTGGTCAGAATTTACATACTATTGCTGAAAAGTAGAATAGTCATCTCTTCGAAACACATAGGTTCATGTAGAGTTAAAATTTGTTTTGGTCTTATCTGAGAATATATGAATCTGAGGAAAGGAGGGTTAAACAAATTCAAGCACACCATGTCTTGATTGGAAACAATTAATCATTTTTTGGGGGGATAATTAATCAACCTGTTTGAAATGGTATGGTTTCAAATCTCACTGTTGCCTCACAGACTAACCCCCACGTGGCCATTTTTTAGTCTACCAGCATCTCTCCCCTTTCAGTCCATTTTCACCTTTGAGTGAAGATTTATTGCAGTTCTTTTGTGGATATAAATAGTAAAGCTGTACCATTGTACTGATCGAAATGTTGTTTAGAGGATCTTGTCTGCAGTTGAAAAAAATGGGGCACAGAGATTTCTGTTGTTTTTGCAGATTGAAGTAAAAATAAATGGCTATGGAGTAGCGTTTTACATCTTTAGTAATCACATACTTGGCAAATTCAACAAAGATGAAAGCTTAACTTTAGGATTTTTAAAATAACTTTATTTTAGGATTTTCTTTTAAGTTTGAAACATGTTTCATACCTCTTATAATCTATTTGAATATTCCTGTATAACAAACTGTCCTAGTTCC
Organism: Homo sapiens; assembly: GCF_000001405.40. NCBI lineage: Eukaryota > Metazoa > Chordata > Mammalia > Primates > Hominidae > Homo > Homo sapiens. The sequence goes on from NC_000005.10 coordinate 23,766,701, forward strand.
TTAGTTGGGGTTATTAATGGTTTAACTTTGTTAATGTCGGAAGAACTGGTTTCATATTTAGTAATTGTCAAGGACAAGAGAATATCATGAAATTATTGCTTTAAAGAACAGGCCTCACTGCTAACAGCGTAGACCTTGAATCAGCAGTAAGGGAAGAAAGTAACCAAGAGGATGAGGCAAAAAGCACATGCGAAAAAAGATTGTAACATCCAGTGGTGTTCAGTATTTACATGTTCTTATTCCTTCAAGCCTCTTCTTGAGCAGAAAGAGTCAGACTTCTGCGTACATTAAAATAGATTACACTGTACTCTTATTAAAAAATATATTGTAAAAATTACTTTCCGGCCGGGCGCGGTGGCTCACGCCTGTAACCCCAGCACTTTGAGAGGCCGAGGCAGGCAGATCACGACGTCAAGAGACCGAGACCACCCTGGCCAACATGGTGAAACCTCGTCTGTACTAACAATACAAAAATTAGCTGCGCGTGGTGGTGGGCGCCTGTAGTCCCAGCTACTCGGGAGGCTGAGGCAGGAGAATGGCTTGAACTCGGGAGGCGGAGCTTGCCTTGAGCCGAGATCACGCCACTGCCCTCTGGCCTGGGCGACAGAGGAAGACTCCATCTCAAAAGAAAAAAAAAATTACTTTCCAAACAATTACATATTCCTCAACATTAATAACATCTATTTATATTTTTATTCAATTCAATTAAACACTATTTTAGGCATGTTGTAGTTTATAAATGAGGCATTACTAATATCTCATAAATACATAATTACACATTTGCCTCACATTATTTGGCATAATTCCAAAAAGTAGAATCTCTTAGTATCAAATAACACATATTTTAAAGTTTTTAATAAATTCCCACTAAAGTCATATCTGGAAAGGTTATTTCAATTTACACTCCAGCTAACAATATTTGCACAAAATGATACAAATTCCAAGCACTGTTAATTAAACTTGGCTAATATGTTAAGCGAAATTATTTCAGGTTTGGTTTTAATTTTATTATATAGTTTTTTTTTTTGTAAAACTAAAATTAGTAACTCTTTCTTTATAGAATTATACTAGCATTGTATAGAATTTTATAATCTGAATTCTTTTTAAACTATTTTTGTTATGAGAATTTTCGCATTCTGCTTATTTTCAAGAGCTGTGCAATGCTAATAATATTAATTCTTTAATAATTTATTTTCTATATATTTCCATTTTGAATTTTTATTTGCTTGTGTGAGACAAGTGATTATTTCCTTTTGTTCCTGCATAGACAACTCTAATTTTCTTTTCTTTTTTTTGAGACATAGTCTCACTCTGTCACCAAGGCCAGAGTGCAGCAGCACAATCTCAGCTCACAGCAACCTATGCTTCCTGGGTTCAAGCTATTCTCGTGCCTCACCCTCCCGAGTAGCTGGGACTACAGGCGCACGCCACCACGCCTGGCTAATTTTTTGTATTTTTTTTGTATTTTTTTTTTTTTTGTAGAGATGGTGTTTCCCCATGTTGGCCAGAATGGTCTCAAACTCCTGACCTCAGGTGATATACCTGCCTCAGCCTCCAAAAGTGCTGAGATTACAGACGTGAGCCACCGAGCCTGGCCGACTCTAATTTTTAAGTAGCGACATTTATTGTTTTACTTAAAAGTCCTTGATTATGACTCACTTTTAAAAATGGCTCCTTATCTCTGAGTCTGTAACTACTTACCTGTTTTTATGATGTTGTAGAATAATATATAATTATATTATAAAATATCAATTTTTTTACATATTTTCTATGGTGCGAATGGCTGATCAGTGAGTAGTATCATAGAATTTGATACCAATATATATAAATAAAAGTGAAAAACAGTGAAAGAATAAACAAATATCATTAGTGACTATCTCTGGTTTCTAAAATTATTACTGACTTTTTAATATTTATGCTTTTATGTTTAATACACGTTTATAAAATATAATTTTTTTGTAAAATGTAAACAATGAAACTATAAGACTATTAGTATGATATGATAGCAAACTTATAGATATATGAAGTCCCTTATTTATTAGGTGCTGTTTTAGCTATAACTATGTAGTGGTGAATTTGACTGACAAGGTTCCTCCATTAAAAGAATATATATGAGTCTTTATGTTGTGGAGGAAAAATAATGAACAAATCCAAGAGTAAAATAATCAGAAATGTGTTCTATAGAAAATAAAACAGTGCTCTTTTCTTTTCTTTTCTTTTTTGTGACTGAGTCTCACTCTGTTTTCCTAGCTGGAGGGCAGTGGTGCGATCTTGGCTCACTGCAACCTCCACCTCCCAGGTTCAAGCGATTCTCCTGCCTCAGCCTCCCGAGTAGCTGGGATTACAGGTGTGTGTGCCACCACGGCTGACAAATTTTTGTATTTTCGGTAGAGACAGGGTTTCGCCATGGTGACCAGACTGGTCTCAAACTCTTGACATCAGGTCATCTGCCCACCTCGGCCTCCCAAAGTGCTGGGATTACAGGTGTGAGCCACCATGCCCGGCCAAAACAGGGTTATTTTCAATATCTGGTTTGGAATAACTTTTTCAGATTTTGTAATCTTTAAGGATTTTCTGAAAGATGACATTTAAGTCTATATTTGAAAGAGATAAGATCCTCTTGTGGAAGACTTGGGGAAGACTTTTCTACTTTGTTTAAACAAAATTTAATAATCACAGGTATGGTAAATATTTTTTAACAAAGAGCAACAACTCCTTTTTCTCCCCTCCCCTCAGACCCTGGCAACCATCATTCTACTTTCTGTTTTTATGAGTCAGACTATTTTAGACACCTCATGTGAGTGGAATCATGCAGTGTGTGTCTTTCTCTGACTGGTTTATTTCACTTAGCATAATGTCCTTGAGATTCATCCATGTTATTGTAAATGGTAGGATACCACTTTTTTTAAGGCTGAATAATATTCCATTTATATATACACACCACATTTTATTTATGCATACATCTGTCAATGGATGAGTATGTTCCAGAGATCTGCTGTACTTCACAGTGCCTACGGCTAACCCTACAGTATTGTGCACTTAAAAATGTGCTAAAAGAGTAGAATTCATGCTAAGTGTTTCTACCACACAAAGATGACAAAACAAAGCAAAACAAAAATCACAAAGCTGACACAGAAAACTTTTGGGGATGATGGTGTGTTCATCCATTCTCATGTTGCTATAGGGATATACCCAAGAATAGATAATTTACAAAGAAAAGAGGTTTATTTGACACAGTTCTGTGTGGCTGTGGAGGCCTCAGGTAATTGACGATCATGGTGGAAGGGGAAGCAAACACATCCTTCTTCACATAATGGTGGGAAGGAGAAGTGTTGAGCAAAAGGGGGAAAAGCCCCTTATAAAACCATACGATCTCGTGAAAACTCATCCACTATCACCAGAACAGCAGCATGGAGGTAACCACACCCACGGTTCAATTACTTCCCACTGAGTCCCTCCAGTGACAGGTGGGGATTATGGAAACTACAATCCAAGGTGAGTTTTGGGTGGGGACACAGGCAAACCACATCAGATGGATATGTTTACTACCTTCATTGTGGTGATTGTCTTACAAGTATTTACAGATGCCCAAACTTCAACTTTATAAATTGAACATGCAGATTTTTTTCTATGTAAGTTATACCTCAATAAAGATGTTGGAAATTGATAATGTATTTTTAGTAATTGTTCCATTGTGTAGTATGATAAACTTCATTGACAGTCTTGCTCAGAAAGAATAAAGCTTTCTGCTTCATATACACAAAGTTAACTCTTAATAATGTACTTCTTAGTATAAATTTATGTATGATTCATCTGCATTAGCTGATAAAGTTCCAAGGTAAGACACAATTTTTAGTACTTAACAGTCTGTTATGGACTGAAGTGTATCCCCTTAAAATTCCTATGTTGAAATGTTAACCATCAATGACTGTACTTGGAGATAGGTCTTGTTTAGAAATAATTAAGGTACAATGAGGTAATAGGGTAGGCTCTAATCCAGTAGGACTGGAAGAAGAGGAAGAGACAGCAGAGGAAATGCCAGGTGAGGATACAGTGCAAAGTTGGCCATCTGCAAGCTAAGGACAGAGACCTCAGGAGAAAATTACTCTGCTGAAACCTTGTCTTGGACTTTCAATTTCCAGGACCATGAAAAAAATAGATTTCTGTTGTTTTAGCCATCCAGTCTGTTTTATTCTATCATGGTGGCTTTAGTAGACTAACAAATATCTCTTACATTAACTAAAGTTATATGAAAAGTACTAAGTTCAACAATTCCCCATTGTTAATTTTCATTAATATTAATTTCTAAAGGGATCAATTAAACAATTCTCTTCTGTAGATGCAATTTATAATGACTTATTGTCTCAATTTAATTTAGTTTTCAAACATGCTCTTATATGAACTTTACAAAGTGTTTTCCTCATCTTATAAATAGAGTAGAAAAGAGAATAAATCTCTTTTTAGAAATACCTTAAAAATTTGATCAGAAGTTTTAGAACAGTAACTTAAAATAAGCATTGCTTTACCTTAGTTCTACTGGTATCTCCTATTACTAGTTCCACTAGCTATAAGAAATAACATACGCTTTATGTTTTATATTTCTTGAAATTTTTTCAGACTTGCTTTACAATCTTTAATATAGTTCACTAAAATATATGTATATATTTATGTTTATGGGATGATTTTATCTCTGATTTTTTCTTTTGTCTCTAAAATATTTACACTATTATTTAAAAATACTTGCAGCTTAACTGTAATCTAAATTATCCCTTTGTTTCTATTTCATTTTTCTATTGATTATAAGTCACATTTATTGTTTCTTTTCCTGCCTTACAGTATGTATAAAAAAGCTTAGAGACTAAAGTCTAAGGTCCTTGTGTCCCAGCTTTTCCCTTAGGCCGACAGGATGAGGGGTCTAAACACATCAAACTGATCATTCACTGAGTTGAATCAAGTCTGAGTTTGCTTTCTCAATTTGCTTAATGGGCTTCACTCGATTCCTAGTATATTTGTGGTCTCCTGAGGTAGCGCTCCTTTGGTTTAGTAATAGCTTTATTGATATATAATTCAAATACCATCATCTTACTCTCCTTAAGTGTGAAATCCAGTGAGTTTTGATATATGCACAAAGTTGTACAACCAGCACCAATGTCTAATTCCAGAATACATTCATCATCACAACAAGAACATCAGTTACTTCCCATTTCCCACCCTATCCTATGCTCCACTCCTGCCAATAGTAATTTGTAAATTTCTGATGTTATGGATTTTCCTATTACGTATGTTTTTATAAATGAAATCACTCAACATGTTATCCTCTGTGACTGGCTTTTATTTTACATAATGTTTTCAGGGATCATCTGTGTAGTAGCATGGAACAGTACTTCATTTCTTTATATTCCATTGTATAGATATAACACATTTTCTTTATTCATTCATCAGTTGATGGGCATTTAGATTGTTGCCACTTTGGGCCATAAGGAATAATGTAGCTATCAATATCCACGTACGCATCTTTGTTTAGAAATGTTTTCATTTTTCTTGGGTACATATCTAGGTGTAGAATTGCTGTCTTCTATGTTATATCATTTGAGGAACTGCCAGATTATTTTCCAAAGCCTCTGTACCACTTTACATTCCCACCAGTAACATAAGGTTCCAGTTTTTCTACATCATTATACCTGTTATCTGTCTTTTTTGTTGCATGCATTTTAGTGGGTGAAAAGTTTCCATCCATCTTTCTGTTTTTGCATTGCGTCTCCCTAATGATTAACAATGTTGAGCACCCTTTCACGAGCTTATTCTTTGTCATGCAACTTTTTTTGGGAAAAGTCTATTGAAATCATTCGCCCACTTATTTGTTATTTGTCTTTACATTGTTGAATTGTAAGCATTCTTTATTTATTCTGGATCTTTATGGAGTTTTGACAGAGAGCTTGATAGGTTTCCTTCCATGCTTCAGAGGTTTGAGTTGAGCATTTTGAGACGCTTCTTTATGTCAGCACCACAAGTTTGCTGGGGATTGCATTCTGCCCAGCCCGGCTGCATTCTGCCCAGCCCGGCTGCATTCTCCCAGTAAGGCTCTCTCAAACTCTTGAGAACTCTACATTTTCAAAAGTTTTGAACTTAGTTCTTCGGACTTCTGAAAAAAAAAAAAAATCATGATCTGGCCAAATCCTTGAAAATCACTATTTTTAAATTTGTTTTGTAAACTTATCCTTCCAAGAGGGCTTTGCTCCTGAAACACTTCAAGATTTCATTTTTCACTCAAACTCCACATAATATTGATGAAGACTCAGCAATGAAAATATGTTTTAGAACAAAATGTTATTAATTTTGTTATATATTTTTAGCTTGTAACTTTTATGTGCTGTGCCACTTGTAGAAACATACCAAAACTTATTTCTCCAGTCATTTGTTGATAGACATTTGGAATGTTTCCAGTTTGGTGCTATTAAAAATAAGGCTCTAAAAGCACCTCATATATTTCTTTTAGTATCTCTTGAGAATCACTTAGTAATGCAATTACAGAGTAATAGCTGAGACAAATATGAAGCTTTAGTTGATACTCTCATACAACTTAACACAGTGATTGTACAAATTTTCCCTACCACCAACAGTGTATGACAGTGGAAGTAACATCACATCTTTATGAACATGTGATATGGATAATGTTCTGTTTTTCGTTTTAATTTTAGATACTGGGGTGGGTGTCTAGTACTATAACAACATGGTTTTACTTTGCATTTGCCTCTGGAGCAATGAGATTAAGAGCCCTTTAGGATGTATATTGGTTATTTAGATAGCCTCTCTGTAGGTGTGCCTCTTCAACTTGCAAATATTTGCTGAGTATATAAGTTGTATTTTGTCATCATGGTATGGTTTGGCAGAAAAAAAATTATTATTTTTTCATGCAGTCTAATGTATAATTATTTTTATTTATCATGTCCAATTTTTGAATCATGAGTATAAAACAATTGCTTACTTTTTAGGTCATAGTGTGGTTCATCTACGTTTTCCTCTAGATTTTTACAGTTTTATTATATTTATGTTAACTATATTTTTATAGTTTTATTTTTTACACTTATATATGCCTGATTCCTTTGCTCTTCCCAACCCCTTTAGTATTTACCCTTGGCCATAATGCACTATATATCGATATTTTTATTTTCCAAATGTTTTTCCAGTTTTCCCAGCCCTCCTTGATTCTTCTATAGTTTGTTCACAAGACTCTGCATGAGTGTTCTTCATATGTGTGTGTGGTTTTAGTGGTTTTATTTTAGCATTCACCTGCTACTGAGAGCCTGTGAGGACCTTTCCCATTTAAGTGCATTCTCATCGCTTTCTCACTCAGAAAGTGGAAATAAATATAGGGAAGGAATATGAATAATTTTACACGTATGTATGTTTGTGTGTGCATGTGTGTGTGTGTGTGATTTCTGTGTGGTTGATCAGAATGAAGACGAATAAAGAAAATGGGAATGAGTATTTAATTTGGTGATTTCTGAGTGACCCATATGCTAAGTTTCCCTCTAACCTCTGCTTGTCCTTTCAGTCAGCCCTGTGGCACTGCTGCTGAATCTATACAAGTGCTGTTCACAGGTAGTGCAGCCATGACTCATCCCTGCCACCAATAATTATTTTAGTAATATTATCCACGCTTTCATTCTTTTGTATTACTGGTTGCTTTCCCTGGCTTTAGGTGATGATCAGAAGTGATTTTTAAAATGTGTGAATTAGTTTTCTATTGCTGCACGACTCATTACCACAAACACAGAGGCTAAAAACAAGAGCCATTCATAATCTCACTATTTCTTAGGCCTGGAGTACAAACATAACTTAGCTGGGGTCTTTCCTCAGGCCCTCCTCAGGCTGTAATCAAGGTATCAGCCAGGCTGGGGGGTTATTTGACACCCAGGTTTCTCTTCCAAGCTCACGTGGGTGTTGGCAGAATGTGTTTCTTGATGACATAGAACAATTTCTCCAGGCTCCTTCAAAGCCAGAAGGAGAGAAATAGTCTCTGAACCAAAGAGCCCTCTGTCCCTGTTTGAAGGATTTTCACCTGGTTAAGTTAGGCCCACTCAGGATATTCTTTCCTACTATTAATCTTAAATCAACGTTTTGACACTTAAAGAAGTTAGACAAAATTCCTTTACCTTTCCCATATATTATTTACCAGAAACAAGTCACACTTCCCTTCCACACTCAAAGAAAATGGATTATAAAATAGTATGACTTATTGAATTTCAAACTGAGTCCAACCCACTCTGTCTCCATGATTTCTCCAAATCCAGATCAAACTCATACTTGATACAAATATTCTCCCCCTTTTTTTTCTTTTTGCTATGGTCTGAATGTTTGTATCTCTCTCAAACTCACATGTTAAAATGTTAATCCACAAAATGATGGTTTTAGGAGGCAGGGCTTTTGGGAGGTGATTAGGGATTATTGCTCTTATGAGAGAGGCCCAGTTCTTTTCACCATTTGAGAATGCAGCTAAAAGATACCATCTATAAATTGAGAAATGAGCTCTTAACAAGCAACCAGTCTGCTGAACTCTTGACGTTAGACTTTTCGGCTTCCAGAACTGAAGGAAATACATGTCTGTCGTTAATAAACCACCCAGTCTATATTTTGTTATAGCAGCCTGAATGAGCTAAGATAATCTTCATAGAATTGTTCTGCAATCTACACTTCACCCACCTTTACTTGTTATAGCCTCTGATGTTCTCTGTGGATCAGAACTCTAGTCGCAGATTGCTAAATTTTTCTGAGCTCCTTATGGACCACCTCTCTTTGTAGTTTTGTTAACCAAGCTTGACTAATTTTGCCTTCCTAACTCCTGTCAGACTCTGACACTATTTCCATACATTGCTCTGAAACACCGATTTTTACCCCTTTTGGATGGGGTCCTTAAGGTTATTCCAATTCTGCCTTCCATATTGTCCACCTAACCCACAGGAAATCCATGAATTGATAAACAAATACAAATATATCCCTAACCCACTACACTTTTGTCTTTTTATTGGCCCAGACAACACTCTAGGTACCCCTGCCCTCTTAGTCATGGAGTATGGGTTCATATAAGCAATTATCTTGCCCAATTAGACCCTTCTGAGAAATGCCATTTGTGTCCCCTTGTAGGAAATCCAATCTGTGTGTATGATTCTCTTTGAATTCTACTTAAATATGCAGATTCAAGGAATAGACAAACTTCTTGGCATAAATACTGCAATCCCCTCTCCAAAATTCCTACATAGATTGTTTCAGGAATGCCATGGAATGACAAGCAATCATGCAGCATTTTAACAAGCCCCAGATAAGCTGAAATGATTCAATTTATGGTTGATTTCATAGAACATGAGGTTCTAAGTGCATCTTGATTTTAACTGTAAGCTCTAATTCCAATACCAAAGAAAGTTCTACTTAACTTCCAGTAACAAGTTATACATATAAAACCAATCTAAAATGTTGATAAATTACAGTGGGATTATACACGAACATTGTTTAGAGGGAATACGCATTTCAATATCCTCAGTGTCATCATAATTTGCAGTATAAACCCTTCCTAATTTTCAGGGTTCCACCCTTTCCTTATTAATGCTTCAATTTAACATTATAGGTACTGCATGCTAATAAATTTAATTCACATTGTATTGAAACCACCAATATTTTTGTCTTTGGTTTGAATTTCTAGAAATCTCTGTCTTGTGGCTATAGGAGATTAGATTTTTTTTCAAGGTAGTCATAGTAGATTTCTGGTCTCTAATGTGGACCTTCACCTGAGAATTTTCTGTGACCTGCAAATTTTTTCTCTATGTTGCTAAGTGTTCTTAGAAGCAATCCTCCAACTCCTTTATACAATTTATTTTCACTAGTCTATTATGTCAGAAACTACTTAATGTTTAACTTTACTTTCAGCATGCACTTGATTACAAGTATCTACAGAGGATAATTTAAGTAACCGTTTTTCCACTGTTTGCCATGGGCCTCCAATGACCCTTTAAATACTGATGATAGAGACATCATTGTCTTTAAATGTAATCAGATATGAATACAAAGTAGAGATTCTTATCCTGAACTTTCAGTCCTCTGGAATAATTTGTGATATCAAAAACTATTTCAGTCAGGACTGAATCAAGGAAGTAGCACAATTTTTCTTCCTTATCTGGCAGTTGGCCTGAGGGAACTCGTGATCCAGAGTTGGCACTTGGAAGGAAGAGCTAGACACAGAATGGTTGAGAACCAACGTGAACCTTCAGGTATCTATTTGTTATCTATCACCATGAAGGGGAACAAAGACAACCTGAAAACTGACAGCAGCTCTGAATTTCTCTCTTGGCTCGTCTGACCACAATGGCCTTCAGAAACTAGTGATTACTGCTTTATTTCTGCCCTCCAAATTTCATGCAATTCTCTCTCTTTTTTTTTTTTTCCAAACTCTCAGGGGGAAACAGGCAGGGAAGGGCATTCCTGGAGAAGCAGTTCCAGATTATCCTAGTTGACATGGTGTAAAACTGTGAGAGCTAAACAATTCATAACAATATCCATTGTAATTTTTTCAATAAATCCATAAGATATCAATATTAGTAAATTAATCTTTCCAGTAGATGGTTTAGTATAGGGTTACTTTCTTTGGTTTCTATGTTGTCTGAATATTTATATTCATGATACAACTAGATGTACAGTTGTTCAATTTGGGGTGGGGTGATGCATAGGAAAAGAGGACTTAAAACTTGAAATCAGATTTAACAAGGAAACTAAGTAAGAAACTATGTATGAAAAAATAATCTTTTCAATACAATAAGGTCAACTGCAGGCATAAGCAGAAATTGTAGTTTACAATGTTCACCTAATAAAAGGAAGCAAAGAGCTGAATTGAGATTTACCCTAGCAATTCTAATCTGCTTACATTTTCAAGAATTGCTGACATCTAATCAGAAAGCTTGAGGATTATTATATTTAGAAAAATATGCTTACATAACATATAATCTTCTATCCTGTTTTATGAGTAAGATTTTTTTGCATGAAACATATCTTTGTATCTGTATGGTTAATCTTTTGATGAAATCATAAAACACTTTTCACAGCAAGAAATTATGTCAAAGTCACTCTTTATTTTACACTGGTTAAGGCATAAATATAAGGATTTAAACATTTCTCAGAATACCAAGTTTCTTATGTTCAAGTTGATCTTTATCAGGGTTTTTTGATAGTGCATATTATGACAGTAGAACTGGTTTTAAATTCTTAAGAAAATACCTGAAATAAGGAAATGTAGAATCAATCGTCCATTTGTGGAGTGGGTGAAATTTCCTTTATCTTTCAAATAACTGAGAAAACTCCATGGTGTATAGATAGTAAATCAAATTTTCAATAATTTAAGTGCCTTCTAATTTTAAAACCTATACATTTATCTGGTACTAGAAAACAGCATCTTTTAGCCAATTATTTTTACTTTACATTATTTTTTAAGCTTTGGGCTTTTCAAAAGACTTGATGTCCATTATTTTAGTCACATGTTTTTGTACATAATGAAAGGTGTATGAGCATACGTGTTCTAGATTATCTGACGATATTCTCAGTACCTACACAGTCAAATGCAGTAAAAAATTGACTTAAATTTTCCATTTAATGGGTCCATTCTAATATGCTGAATTTATCAACCCAATGTTTATGGCATATTCTTTCTCATTAATTAGTTTTTCTTTTTCTATACAACTAGCACACTGGCTAATTTCAAGCAGTTAATTAATACTTGATGAATGGATTAATAAGTGAATGATTGACATAATCTAGAGCATCCACAGAGTTTTTAAATAACTGTTGTTAACCAAAAAGAGTCTTGGAAAATATTTTGTCTTAAAATTAAGGCCAGTGGACCTGTGTTATTTTTTATTCTTGTAAATATCCTATTCCTAATTGTTTTTTGAATCTAAGAATTAGTTCTTGCATGGACTTGTAAGTTTTAATTATGCAACTTTTCTGTGAAACAGGTAAGAATGCTAAAAATGCCACCTATGACAAATTAATTCTTCTCAACCTTTCATTACAGTAATGTCATAGTCAAAAAGGAACTTAGAAATCACCCAACCCAATCCTATTCTCTTTGTATAAAATCTGTGATCTCATCCATTTAATATTTCCAGTTCTGAGTTTATTTTTTCTACTTTTATATGCATTCCAGTGTCCTGTACCCAGTTGAGACAGAGCCACTGATTAATATATTCACATTAATATAATATTTTTAATGTTTTAGAATATAATCACATTTATACAATGTCAATTTATCTGGAGAGATGTGTGGACTTTTTATTGTACAATTCAATAAAAATATTTGATGCCACTATGTTAATAATTCTATGGCAAATCTAAGGTTTTCACATAAGGGGGCAAGCACACAGTAGTGATTTTCTTTTTATATTTTAATATGTAAAGTAACAAGAACAACTATTTCAAAAGAGTTTTTTTAAAAAACTCTTAAAAAAGCAGTACTTCATTTCAAAGTTTGAAGTCTCTACGTTTTCTGAAATAACGTCAGTGTTCCTTCCTATTTCTACAGTATGGTCTATAAGGTTAGATTTGTAGTATCTGATCAACTTTGGATGTCAAGATAGGAAATAATCCATCTCTTGTGTGTGTATAACAACATGTACTTCTGCAATAGGAAATAACTCTATAAAGAACAGTTTATATTTTTACATACATCACAATGGCTGAAAGCTTTACCAGTTTCTTAGTCAAAGTGGGTTTGATTAAAAGTCTCAGTCCTTCTGCTAGCGGCTCACCAAATTTTCTGGAACAATATTATTTTACTTTAGTTTGTGTTGTCTTTTCTGACCTTTCTCAAATTAGAGAGAGTAATATCTATTTTTAGATAAATCTATGTAAAACCAATTCTGATTCAGGTTTGTTAAATGTTGAAAGTGGTTGGTAATTTTTAAAAACTCATCTATAAGTGCTATAAGTCAAGTAAATCCTTATAAGCTCTACAAGGTGTACATGGAAGGATGTTTCTGACATTAAAAAGAAACTAGTGAGATGGAAGACTATGCTTTATTTAGGGGTTTAAGATTAAATTTAATATTATTCTGTATTAATCTGTACAAACTTGCAACTCCTACATTGAGTACTGCAAGGATAGAATCTACAGAAAAAAAGTACATATTTAAGTAAATGCTATTTTTATTGTTTGTAAGTAAAATAATTTCATGAACAAAACATATAAAATTTAATACCACAGACCCACATAAGCATAATTTAGTTTATGGAGAAATATGCACACACACACACACACACACACACACAAAAGCACATAGACACAAACACACACACACACAAACACACACACACATACACACACACACACATATATATATTTCTCATATCATAACCATGTATAATGTTTCCTAGTCCTATGAATTTGTTTAGTAATGACATATGCTTATTAGTTGACTAATTTGTGCCTAGGATCATTGCAGGTCCTGAGAATGTAGCAGTCTATTAGTGATCCATTCTGCTATAGCGAAGTACCAAAAACTTAATGACTTACAAGGGGCCAAATTTCCTATCGTATAGTGCTAGAGATCAGAAGTCCAAAATGGGTTTCTCTGATCTAAAAATCAAAGATCATTCTGAAAGCATTAGTGGAGAATCCATTTCCTCACATTTTCGGACTTTTAGAGGCTTCCTCTACACCTTGGCTCATTGCTCCTTCCATTCCTTCAAAGACAGCAATTTAGCATCTTCAAATCTCTTTCTGATACTGAACAACTTGGTCTTTTTCTTTCACATATAATTTCATTTCTTCCATTTGGATAATCCTGGATAATCTTCACACCCCAAGATCTTTAATCACATCTGCAAAGTCCTTTTGGCCTTGTTAGGAAGCACATTCACAGCTTCCTTGGCTGAGGATGTGGACATTCTTTGGGGACTTCTATTTTGCCTGCTAGAAGTGGTAAATAAAACAGACTAAACCCTCTATGTTCATAAGAGTATATTTTAGTGAGAAAGGTAGACAAAAAACAAACCCATAATTTGTCCTCTTTTGTATTCCTACAATTTATTTGTATCATTATTTTATTTATAGTTTTCTCAAGAAATTATCTATATTATTGCCCTCCTCAACCACTCAATTTTTACCTTTGTAAACACACTCAATTTCATACACTTATGTTCATGTATATTTCTCTCTCCTTCTACTTTATTTGGTTTAATTTTCCTATTATTTTCAAAACTTCATAATATGTATGTTTAGCTTAACCATTACTAGTCTTCTTTATTTTGTTTTATTTTTAAAAATCTATTTCTTTAGAGACAAAGTCTCATTCTGTTACCCAGTTGGGAATGCAGTGGCACATTCTTGCCTCACTGTAGCCTCGAACTCCTAGGTGCAAGTAAGTCTTTCATCTCAGCCTCCTGAGTAGCTGGGACTGAAGGTGCACATCACTGTGTAGGAATACTTTTAGTTATTAGTCATTTTTGTAGAGAAGGGGTCTCATTTTGGCTCCCAGGCTAGTCAGGGACTCCTGGCTTGAAGAGATCCTCCCAACTCAGCCTCCCAAAATGCTGGGATTACAGGTGTGAACCACCACTCCCCGCCTTCTTTATTTATATAAACTTTCAGTGTTAAAATTTGCCCCACAAGTACAGGTTTTATGGTATTCCACTATTTTCAAATATCATCTTTTTCTATTTAATTAGAATAAAACATTTGTTTAATTTTTCCTTGGATCATAACATAGTAAAAGTTTTGTTTGTGTCTGTGTGTGTGTCAGCAATTTCCAAGGGTTGCTATAATTTTCTTTAACGTTTTTTATTGTAGTAAAATACTTGTGACATAAAATTTACCACTTTAAATGTTTTTAACTGTGCAATTCAGTGGCATTAGTACATTCAGAGTGTTGTCTAACTACCATCACTATCCATTTCCCCTCCCCTTAGGAATCCCTGTTCTACTTCATATCTCTCTGAATTTGCCTATTCTAGTTACCTCATTTAGGTAGAATCACACAATGTTTGTCCTTTAGTGTCTGGCTTCCTTCAGTTTTTATAATAATTTCAAGGTTCAATTAAAAAACTTGATTGAATTATGTTTAAATATCCTTGATCTGTTACAGTACCACTCATAAAATACTTTGAGATAAGCCTTTGTTTAGCACTTAGTCATTTTGTTTAGTATAACCCCTGGGTGTTTATGAGAAATATGATTTTCCTAATAGTGGGGATAGACTAAATTGTAATTGTATTTTTCAAATATTCCATACCCTTACTATATTTTGGCCTTCAGAGAAAGAAATAGAGCATGCGTACTGCAGCAAAGCTATAAAGATTAAATGCAACCATTTCATGACTTATGGAAAAGAGCAAGGAAGGAGATACTAATATAACACCAAACTTTTAAGAAATATAATCAGAATTCAGAGAGAATTGTGCAATTATTTAAAACTGTGCTAATTGGACCATATTTTATTTTTCACAGAATCTGTCTCAGATTGCTCTCCTTAAACTCCTACCCTTTTCTCAGATGTAATTTAATGTATAAAGGCACATAAACACAAACATTAGATGATAAGATCACTCTCCATCTGATATGGTTTGGCTTTGCATCCCCACCTAAATCTCATCTTGAATTATAGTTCCCATAATCCCCACGTGTCATTGGAGAGACCTGGTGGGAGGTAATTGAATAATGGGCAGTTTCGCCCAGGCTATTCTTGTGTGACAGTGAGTGAGTCTCACGAGATCTGATAGTTTTATAAGGAGCATCCCCCTTTGCTTGGCACTTCTCTCTCCTGATGCCATGTGTAGAAGGATATGTTTGCTTGCCCCTTCTGCCATGATTGTAAGTCTCCTAAGGCCTCCCCAGCCATGCAGAACTCTGAGTCAATTAAACCTCTTTCCTTTATAAATTACCCAGTCTCGGGTATTTCTTTATAGCAGTGTGAGAACAGACTAATACACCATCTTTCTCCAATATATTCTGATTTTATGCATACATACACAAGCACACACATACACATGTGTACAAACATAGACACATACAAAAATATATGGATACCTATTTTATGAAATAACTGCTTTGTAAATCTGTCTTCAAATATAAATTAGAATTCTAGTTTGCCCATTTCACTTGTGTCTGTCTATGTCTAATTAAATTACATAAGCTTTGTTTTACTAAATGAAGACTGAGGAAAACTACGCATTAAATGTAGATACATTTGAAAAGCTCTAAACTTGAATCCTGATTCTAGCACTCCTTTCCTCTCTGACATTGATGTGGCTTATATTATCCTGGTAGGCAGTATAATGCTTCTGCCGAAGATATCATTGCCCTAATACTCAGAAATTGTGAATCTGTCATATTATATGGCATAAATATATTTGCACATATAATCAAAATCATAGACCTTAAAATAGGGAGATTGTCTTGGATTAACTAGGTGGGTCCATCTACTCACATGAGAGCTTACAAGCAGAGAACTCTCTCTGGCAAGAGAGATGTAGCAGAAGGAGATCAGAGATTCTAAGGGTGAAAAGGATTCAGTGTACCCTTGCTGGCTATGAGATATAGGTTCCCACATTCAAGGACAAGATAGAAACCTCTTGGAGCTAGACCATCTGCCAGCTGACAGATAACAGGAAACGAAATGTCCTAAAACTGCAAGGACCTAGATTCGGTCAACAACCTGGGCAAGTTAGAAGCACAATTTTCCCAGAGTATCCTGAGAAAAGTCTAGTTAGCTTGATTTTGGCTTTATCAAATTCAGAGCAGAGAAATCAGTAAAGCCAGCTAGAACTTCTAATATATAAAACTGTGAGATACAGAATTTGTGGGGTTTGTTTGTTTTTGTTTGTTTGTTCATTTGTTTGTTTTTTGAGACAGAGTCTCGCTCTGTCATCCAGGCTGGAGTGCAGTGGCGTGATCTGAGCTCACTGCAACCGCTGCCTCCTGGGTTGAAGTGACTCTCCTGCCTCAGCCTCCTGAGTAGCTGGAATTACAGGCGTGCACCACCATGCCTGGCTAATTTTGTATTTTTGGTAGAGACAGGATTTCACCATGATGGTCACGTTGGTATTGAACTCTTGACCTCATGATCCGCCCGACTCGGCCTCCCAAAGTGCTGGGATTACAGGCATGACCCACCACACCTGGCTGTGTTGTTTTAAGCCACAAAATTTGTGCCTATTTGGTATGGCAGCAATAAAAAGCAAGTACAATTATCTTTTTCAACTCAAACATGAGTCTCTAGACAACTAGAGAAAATAATGCTATGTCCCAAGTGTGTGTATGTCGTAGGTATTCAAAGTGATTAATAAGTAATTTTTGACATGTATTTTAAATTTAAACTGTGATTATATAAATCACATTTTTCCCCTTTATGTATGTGTGTACAAATGTGCACACCCATGTGTATAACACATTGATCATATTTAATTACCTTTGGGAAAAGCAGCTACCATCTGATTACTTAATACTTTCACTGACATATACAGATCCAATACAGGGAAGTGTTACAGTGGAAAGTTCCTGATACAAAAGACAACGATGAGGGTAAGTATCATTGCCTGATTCTAAGAAATAGAGGTATGCTACTCCAAAGGCAGACAGAAATGCTATCAAATTTGCTATATTTCATTAAAATACTATACCTTTCTATGCAATCATCTAGTTAATTTTTTAGCAAAACATGTAAGAATGTTCTTACATAGTACATGAAATAAGAGATGCTCTATTGTTATTCATAAATAGATAAAAAGAGAGATGTGGCAGAAGGAGATCAGAGACTCTAAGTGTGAGAAGGATTCAATGCGCTTTTGCTAGCTATGGGATACAGGTTCCCACATTCAATGACAAGAGAGAAACCTTTTGGTTTCTCTTGTCCTCTGAGATTTTTTAAATGTTGGTTTTAAATGAAAATATAATTAACACTTTATTTGGTATTATAGGATTTTCAAATGGATATAAAATTTATATTCAACACTTTAAAATTATAATTGAATGATTTCATGTTTCTGTGGAAAATATGACAGAAGAGAGATCATGTGGCTTGTAATAGATTTTAGATGAGCCCAATGGTTCAATATTATTTTCATAGTTTGATTTTTTTTAAAGCAAGAATGAACATGGTTTTCATTTTTAAAGGATGATTATATTTTCTTTCTTGGAAATTAAATTGTTTTGAGAATGTTATAGCAAACAGAGTTGAGAATGTTGTAGTAAAATAAGAGATAGTATTTATATGTAGTCATGCCATTCAGGTATAGAATGTTTTTATCTATTGATTTACTGTAAATTAGACAATAAATTGTATATTACTTGGTAGTATTATTCTTTCATTTTCTGTTGCTGCATATGGCACCGTCGAATAATGGAAAATTTGCCTGAGACTTTCCATTAATCCCTCACTGCCCAGATAATGTAATACTTGATTCTGAAATAATATAAATTTTATTTCAAAAAATCATTGCAAAATATTTTAATAAAAATATTTCAATACAAAGTTTTAAGTAATACAGTTTATTTTGATTCAATTAGTTTTGAAATTATCAAATAAAAAGATTTGGGGAATAAATAATTTCACTTTCTCTGTGCTTTCTTCCACTCTTTACATCCAATAATCTCATCTTAAATTTGAATTTAGTGGAAAGTGTTCATAGAATCCTCCCATAGTCTATGCTTAAGGAAGAATGAGTAAAAGTCCTTGTATGTTAACAATTTTCATCAAACATACTGGAGACAGCATGCCCCTCCTACCAGAATTTTTGCAGATTTTTGAACCTTTATAAACTTCTTGTTTATGAATTGTTGAATTGTTGAGGTTCTAGAGATATAGGCATCTGCTTTTAATCTCCTCTATATCTTTCCTGAAGCTATGTTAACAATTATAGGGGTAAATTGATGACTGAAGGAAAACAATCAGACACACACAAACACACATATATGCTTTGCACGAAACACTGCATTCAAAAAGAAAACCTAATAAATCTACTTTTTTAATCTTTTGAACATTCAATAAATAATATTTTTCCCTTGTCAGAAGAAAAGTCTCAGAAATGTGAGAATTGGTTACTGAAAAAAAGAGGTCAAAATCTATATTAAGGTATTAAAATTCACATAAGGTGATTGATTTGACAAAATGAGAAGAAGACTAGCAAAAAAATGGACCAGAGGAGAAAATAATAGAAAATTTATATAGTATTTACTCTGCAAGCAAATATTTTTAATAACATATATGAATGAAATGGATAACATAATTTATAACATGAATAAAATTTGCAGAAAGCACTTCATATATTTTGTTTATAATAATTAAAAGGAATATGCTACATATACCTCTAGACATATTTCCCTCTGTTTTTCCATTAGAATACTATGTGAAATGTAACATTCTCTTAATAACAAATAACAAATGTTCTCAATGCTTAAAATAATTTAAAAACCTAATAAAATATTCCAAATAAGTTAATAATATGCATAACACAAAACATTATGTATATTTTATGGCAGAGAACTTATACATGTTTTATTAAAATATGTATAAAATTTTGTATAAAATATGTATAAAATATGTATAAAAATGTACAAAATATGTATAAAATATGTATAAAATTTACCTCTAGTAAAAAGCACAGATTTAAATTGTGTAATACTATGAGTTTTGAAAATGAGTATGCCTCATACAAGACTATCAACCTATAGAGCATTTATCATTCCAGAAATGTCCATTGTACCTTTCAAATCAATCCCACCAAAGGAAAACAAGACACTATTCTGATTTACATTTTCACAGATTAGTTTTCTCTGTTATAGAAATTTAGAAATCCAAGTAAGCAGGAAGACATCATATACTGTTTAGAACTTCAGTTAGTTTGCAGAGAAATCTATTTTTGAAAATTGTTTATAATATTGCACATATAGGTATTCTTTTTATTTTCTGAGTAAGATTCCATTGTATGAATATATCACACTGTTTCTACCCATTCATCTTGGGTTGGATATTCTGTTTATAATTTTTGTTTTTTATCACTAAAAGTACTACAGATATCTTATGAAAGTTGATGTGTAGTAATATATTTTAATTTCTCTTTGGTACATAGTTAGGAGTAAAATTTCTAGATTATACATGTTTAATTTTATGTGTACATAATCAGATCATCTACTAATAAATGCAGTTTTACTTCTGGTATTCTGAAACGTATGCCTTTTCCCCTATCTATGAAATCTTTACCAAGCTCCAGACCATGGGTTTTTTTTTCTAAATAACCTTGTAGAAATGTTACAGTTTTAATTATAATTTTTAAATCTATTAACCCATTCGAGTTCATTTTAGTATATGGTGTGAAAATGGCTGTCTTTGTGATGTTCTTCAATATTTTTAAAAATGTATATTCGATTGTCCTATTATCATTGAATAAGAAGAATATTCTTCTTCCATAAGTTTGCTCTGTCATCATTGCAAAAAAAGCAATTGACCATGTAAGTCAATGATAATCTATTCCTGAGCTGTCCTTGTACTATTGATCTTTAAAGATATCCCTTTGGCGATACCACACTGTCCTGATTACTATAGCTTTAAGGTCATTCTTAAAATGAGTGAGTATAAGTACTACAACTTTTTCTTCTTTAATTTTTTTTCTATTATAGGTCACTTCAATACCTATATAAATATTATGATCAACCTATTAATTTCCACAAGTTACGTTTTAGAATTTTGATTGGGTTTCCTTTGAATAGATAGAGATATATGTAGCTAGATTTGAGAACATTCTTTTCCTAAATATTTAACTGTGAAAGATACTCCAGGAAATGTATTAGGTTTTAAGATTTAAAAAAATCCTTTAGGCTTTGAGGTGAAAATACCAAGTTACTTATTAAGGTTAGAAAATAAGTTTGGCATCACACACCTCAACAAAATAATGCAAGACAACAGTGGAGCAACATTATAAAGAGACTCAAGAAAGATAGCATAAGCCAGAAATTCTGTATCTAAAATTATTTTCTTCAAATCTCTAGGTAATAGAAAAACTATTTTAATGATTCAACAACCCAGGAAAATTCCTTTCTGAGGTTTTGAGGTAGTGCCTAACACAAACTTTTTGTTTTTTTAAGGCAAATAGCACAGATATTAGGCAATTCAGATCATAAGACCTCTGCCACATCTATTAAATTCTGTTGTTAAAATGTAAAAGCTACCATAAAAGGTTGGTCAATGAATTGTCATGGCTGTGTTTTAATAAAACTTTATTTACAAAAACAGGAGGCTTACAATATTTCCATATATAGTTTGCTGATCCTCATCTAGGGCAGCTATTATCAACATATTGTTCTTAGATCATGCTCATCAGTAACACCTAGGAACTTGAGGGAAATTTGCACTACCTCTTCCAGACCTACTAGATCAGAAATTTTGAGGAAAGTATTCAGCAATCTGTGTGTCAGGGACCTACAGGTGATCTTTATGCATTCTGAAGTTTGAGAACCACTAATCCTGAAGATCAGTGTTATTCTAACGGGTTGACTGAAGGAATATTAGCAAAATGACACCTGGTGACCAATGAATACAGAGGAATTTGAAGTCTTCTGTGCACTATGGTAAATGAGAAAACAAAGCCCAGATCCAGCATAAGTACAATGTAGATTGACTAAATTTCTTCATTAACCAGATAACTGAAAAAGGGCATATCTACTTTGGATGTAAATGTTTATTTTAGCTTTTACTATTCTTTGATATACAATGTCTGATATTAAATTTTATAACTCATTTAAAAAGTCAAGAAATTATGTTAATGAAAATAGTGGAAAATTGAACATGTTTGCACAGTTGGAAAAATCCAGCATAGAGACAGAAGTCACATAAAAGAGACAAATGAAAATGTACTCATAAGAACTTTATTTTTATATAAACCAAATCAGTTTTCAACATAATTGTACCAATTACATATTTTTGCCAAGAATGTCTGAGATTTACTGGTTTGACATTCCTGGAAACACTTGGTTTTGCCAGGGTATAAACGTATTTATTTATATGAAAATTTACTGTCATCTCTCTTCTATGAAGGAATTCATCCTTTTGGGAAAATGGGTTATACAATAAAGTATTATAATCCTGGGGAATAATAGTGTAATATGTATTAGTCAAAAAGCCCTTGTATTGACTTTAAAATATCCAAGTAAATATTTTATTAGACAAGTATATGAAAATAAAGTTATTGGGCCAGGCGCAGTGGCTCACGCCTGGAATCCCAGGAGTTTGGGAGGCTGAGGCAGGCAGATCACTTGAGACCAGGAGTTGGAGACTAGCCTGGCCAACATAATGAAACCCCATCTCTACTAAAAATTCAAGAATTAGCCAGGCATGGTGGCACAGGCCTGTATTACCAGCTACTCGGGAGGCTGAGACATGAGAATCGCTTGGACCCGGGAAGCAGAGGTTGCAGTGAGCCAAGATCCCGCCACTACACTCCAGCCTGAGCGGCAGAGCAAGACTCCCTCTCAAAAAGAAAAAAGAAAAAAAAAAGTTCTTATCAAAAGCCTGCATCTGTTAGATTAATTTGGGAGCATCAAGGTAAGTACCTGAAGCCATTTTTAGAGATTACAGCTTGAGAAAAAGAGCTTCAAATTACGGTAAAAAGACTTCTCTGGAAATTCAGAAAGAGAAAAATTCAACCACTAAACTACTTAGATGGAGTTTCCAAAGAAGTAGGAGGCAAACCAGGTAAATATGTCATAGGAGTCAAAGAAAGAATTCAGAGGTTAGGATCAACATTCTCCCATCATTTTGATGTCTGAGACAAGGGTGCCAGCATGGTCAGATTCTGGTGTGGGCCCAATTTCTGGTTTACAGATGGCATTCTTGTGTCTGTGTCCTTACGTGGAGCAGAAGAGAGAGAGGTAACAAGCTCTCTCATGCATCTTCTTACAAGGGCACTAATCCCACTCAATAAGGGCTCCAGCTCTAGGATCTAATCATCCCCAAAGACTCTACCTCATAATACCATTACTTTGGCAGAATTTCATAATATGAATTTGGAAGGACACAAATATTCAGCCCACAACATAGAGAAATATGTTAATATTATGTAAATATTGTTCCTCATTTTTTTCTCATACTTTTAGTATTAATTGATATTTTCTAACTCCATTATTATTTCTCTTTAATGGTTGGTGTTCTACTACAAGGAAGAATGTTCCTGTTTAAAATTTATATGTATTATATGAACTCATGATTCTTCAGTTGTCCAATAGTTTATAATCCACTACTCTGTCTCTTTCTCTATATATGTGTGTGTATGTGTGTATATATGTATTATATGTGTGTGTATATATGTATATATATGATATATACATTACGTATGATATACAGATTTGTATATATCTATATATATACACACACATATAGATACACACACATATATATTCATTATATATAATATACATATATACACACACACATCCTGGCTCTTGCAACCTTTTGACATGTTTCTGTCTTAGTCTGCTTAGGCTGTGATGCTAAAATATTAATGACTGGGTGACTTAAATTGACTATAGACATTGTTTTTTCCTCACAGTTCTGGAGGCTGAACGTCTGACATTAGGGTACCAGCATGGTCTGGTTGTGGTAAGGGCCCTCTTCCTGGGTTACAGAAAGCTGCCTTCTTACTGCGGTCTTGCATGGTAGATCAATCTCTCTTTTTCTTCCTTTTCTTATAAGGCCACACCAATCCTATCAGATCAGGGTCCCACCCTTCTCATCAGTATTTGTTTTTAAACATAAGTTTATTTTCTATTAAGGTTTTCATGTATTTCTGTTTCCTTCTAAGATATTTACATTTTATATTTCTGGGATTTTAACATTCGTATATTTCATAATATATTTGAATGGTTATAACTTTATCTAACAATTATGCAATACTTTAGTATTTTTTTCCAAATTCCCTTAAATTCCATTAGTCAGTATTAATTTCTAGTATTTATGGACAAATTCTTAAGTCTGATCACATAACATTCCTTACTGCACTCTATTATTAATTAATTTAGTTGTATCATAACATATATACTGTAGTTCATTGATAGCAATATAGGTATTTTTAAAAGCTACACTAGTGTTTATTCCATAAGGACAGAATCATGCATATTCAATCTGAATTAAATAAGGTATGCAAGGGAAAATATGACAGTATAGTAAATGAGTGTACCAAAATCAACATCTAAGTTTAGAGTTCAATAAAAAATGTAATTATATTGGTCTGCTATGATTTATGATTTACTCTTGCTGTTTATTGCTCAGCAATTGATTATGATCCAGATGTTTAAAACTTTCTATTCCACTTTTTAATTTTCAGTTTTGTTGGAATTTTTATCTTATGGCCACTCTAAAGGAAGTGTGTAATTTCCTTTGAAGAGAAGAATATATATTAGAAAACTAAAGCTGTCCTCTGAGATTTTCTTAATTTCATGATCAGTATGCCTATAGGTGGTTTCACTAACAGTTGACAATATCCCACGCAGCAATAACAGACACCCATAATCCCTACCATCTTTGGTTAATGGCTCTGCCTTTTGGATCCACGTGCATGCAATCATTGCAAGACCTATTATAGATGTTTAAGCATTTTTATCTAGCTAGCAAGTAGGCAAATCCAGCAATTATAACTTAAATGTAAACTACATATTATTTGAACATATGTTATAGAGTAAAAAATTTGAAAGCTAAGAAAGAAATGAACAGTTATGTTTTTCTTTTCTTCTCTCTTACCCTGGAAAAAGAATCTATCTCACTCAGACTACTTTATTGTACTTAATGGTACAAAATATAAATATGAACAGAGAAAACAATAAATATAACAAAAGAAAAGAGTGATAACTAATAGCAAGTGGTTCAAGTAAAAGTATAAATAGAGATGTTGGAAAGGTAGTAACACATTTCTTCTGGCTAAGGAATAAAGACAGCTCAAGAGTTTAAGTTTGGTACATATTTGGATAATTTGGGGTATAAGAGGAGCACATATATTATGAAAATCAGTTTAAAGATACTTAGCAAAAAATTAAAAATTTACACTAGAAAAAATAAAGGAATTCTAGCCATAGAGCTTATGACAATTAAATCCAAGAGATCATGTATTTGTATAAGATACAAAAGAAAGTAAATGTTACATGCCTTTTAATCAAAGGAACAAAATATTTTTGCATACAAAACAGAGAAAAGAAAACCCTCCAAAAATAAATAATTAAAAGAGATGACTCTGTGAACGCTACCTGAATAATGTTCTGAATATTGTTTTTATTTTATGTATGAATCTATGTATGTATGTATATATGTATGTACGTATGCATGTATTTAAGATGGAGTCTCACTCTGTTGCCCAGGCTGGAGTGCAATGGCATGATGGCGGCTCACTGCAACCTCCGCCTACCAGGATCAAGTGATTCTCCTGCCTCAGCCTCCTGAGTAGCTGGGATTACAGGTGCACGCCACCACGCCTGGCTAATTTTTTATATCTTTGGTACAGATGAGGTTTCACCATGTTGGCCAGGCTGGTCTCGAACTCCTGACCTCAAGTGATCTGCCAGCCTCGGCCTTCCAAAGTGATAGGATTACAGATTTGAGCCACTGCACCCAGCCTGAATATTGTTTTTAAATGCTAATATGAAAACAGAAACACTCAAACTTGATTCAGGCCTTTATTTAGGGGACACTATTGGACAATTTAGAGAAATAAAAATTAATCTCCCGAATTTTTGCACTTGCGTTTGTGAGGAATATTGCATTGTAGTAATCTTCTGCAACATTTTTGTATGTGTTTGCTATTAAGGTGATTCTAGAATTCTGGCCCAACAAAATTAATTAGAAAACGTTCTCTTCCCTGCTCTTTTCAGAAAGAGTTTGAATATAATCATTTTTTTCCTTCTAAAATGTTTCTTTTAATTGACTGGGGAAGTGATTTGGGCCTAAGGTTTTTTTTTTAAAGTATGTATTCAATTGTTTAATAGATATAAGGCTATTCAGATTATTTATTTCTTTTTGTATATGTAATTTGTATGTTTCAAATAATTTGTTCATTTTCAAATATTTTGGCCTAAATTTGTTCAGCATATTCTCCTATTACCATTTTAATGTCCACAGGATGTATAAATAATATTGGTATATTCCTATATTGGCTGGTATTATTGTGCTTTCTCCGTCTCTGTTTTTCATGATCATTTTATAAAGAATTTAACAATATAATTATATTTTCAAAAAACCTATATTTTGTTTTCTTTCTGGTTTTCTAACATAAAAACCATTTACTCAATGACACATTTTCTAAGGGTTGCTTTAGTCTTACTCTACACATTCGATTTTATATTCTGTGCTTTTATTTCATTCTATTTAAAATATTTTAATATTGAATATTAAAATTATTTTTTTATGTTTACTGAAATTAAGGTTATTTGGGATGTTATTAAATTTCCAAATATTTGCAGATTATCAAAATTATCTTTCTCTTACTGATAACTAATTATATATTGGCCTAAACCACACTATGTAAAACAACTTGTTCAAATACTCTGAACTTTGGAGGTTATAGGGTTTATTCTCAGATATTAAAAAATAAATAAAACTTTGCTTTGCATGCATACACTTCATGAAACTTCTGTATTCTTCATCGTTAGCCAGAACCTCAGATAAGAGTGAGATGTGTCGGTCTCATACGCCAATCACATTGCTATTCAGTATGGCGCACATGGGCATGTGTTGACAAGTAAAAGTGTTGGGGTACAAAGCACACAAATGTGAAATCAAGTTTCTTATTGCCTAATGACCCCCGATGTGGTATCCAAAACAAAAATAAAGTGAGCATAATGTTTCGTTTTATTTTATGGTAATACTAATACGTGAATTCTTATCTCCAATACTTTGAAAAACTAATTAAATATACAAAAAATAATTTTAATGCCAAAATAATTATAAATGTTACTATAATAAATTAATTATTAAAATGTATCCTACAAGCATTTTCACCTAGAAATATGTATTTATGTTTCCTCCATGTCTTTTCATGGCTTGAAACGTATTTCTTTTTAACACTGAATATCTTTCACTATCAGGCACCACAGTTTATTTGCCCATTCACCTGCCGAAGAACATTGTTTTATTTTGTTTGTGCTGCTATATAGGAATACCTGAAGCTGGCTAATTTATAGAGAAGAGGTTTATTTGGCTCACAGTTCTCCAGGCTGTATAAGAAGTATGGCACCAGCACCTCATTCTGGTGAGGGCCTCAGGCTGCTTCCACTCATGACAGAAGGTTAAGGGGAGTTGGTGTGTGCAAATGACCTAGCAAGAGAGGAAGCAAAAGAGAGAACAGAGGAGGTGTCAGGCTCTTTTCTACAAGTTCTTCTGGAAACTGAGTGAATACCCACTCATGGCTGCAATAACAGCACCAAGCCATACACAGGGGATCCACCCGCACAACCCAAACACCTCGCATCAGGCCCCACCTCCCACACTGGTGAGAAAATTTCAACAGGAGATTTGGCAGGGCCAGACAAACCATACCCAAACTGTCTGACATTTTATCAATTATGAATAAAGCTGCTGTGAACATTCATGTGCAGTTTTTTGTGTAGACATGAGTTCTTTTACTCTTTTGAGCAAATACCAAGGGCTGTAATTGCTAGACTGTATTATTATTGTATGTTTGGTTGTATAATAAATCACCAAACTGCCTACCAAAGTGGCTATACCACTTAGTATTTGCATCAGCAATAATTGGAAATTCCTGTTGTTCTACATCCTCACCAGCGTTAAGTGTTGTCAGTGTTTTGAATTTTAAAGAAATGTGTAGTGGTAGCTCATTGTTGAGATGAGCAAACTCTTGATATATTCAGTGAAAGAAACATCTGTAAAGGCTGAAGTAACCTTTAGTAATGTGGTTGTGAGATGTGGGGTGGCAAAGAGAGAAGTGTTCTATAGTCCCATGAGCAGATTTAGTAAGTCTGTACCAGTGAACTGTGAACTTCATACATGCTTCTAAAATCCACCTGCCTGTCTTTGGTGAGAAAGAATGTCTAGAGTAGGCTACAACTGTGTCTTTGCCTTCTCTGAATCCATCTAGGTTCTCATTAAACCCAGCAGGTTAGTCTCTGGTAAAAACAGTTTCTCCTGCAGGTAGGTCTTGTTAAGAAAAACAGATGCTCTGAAGTATTTCAAAATGGTTATCTTTCCCCTCCCCCTGCCAGAAAAATCAGGGAAATTTTCTCTGATATTTACTGTAAGGACAGGGTCAAGCTGGTAAATTTCACAAAATGTGGGATCCTCCGGTGACTGAGTCCCCTTGGAGTTGTCATGTCTCAGGGATGATATTTCATATCTGATTCGTGAAATCAGAGATGTGATTTGTAAAATTTGTTCTACCTGCAGTAGAAAGTATTTAACCAGAGACTAACCTGCTTGGTTTAATGAGAACCCAGCTGAACTCGGAGAAGGGAAAGACACAATTTTAGCCTACACTAACTTGTCCACACTAAGCCTCCAGAAATTAATCACTTATAACGCAAGTTTCCCTACACCAATATGGGTTATCTTTGAGGTTCGTGCTTGAAGGTTTCTGCTCTGGTAAACCAAGACTTTGGCCCTCACCTGTAGGTCTCTCCAATTTGGTGAGCAGTGGTTTGCCCTGTGACCGCATTTCTATGAGAAACCTAAGGAATTTTTTTGTTTGTTCAGCTTTTGTTGTTTGGATGAAGTGGTGATTTCTAGCTTCTTACGTACCTGACAGGAGAGTTCTAGTAGATTTTTTAAACCTGCTTTTTGTTTTAATTGATTCACTATGCTGTATAATTCTTTCATTTCAGTGAGAAAAAAAATGGAAAGAAATATTCTCCAACATATATTGTTATACTAGGAAAATGAATTTAAAGAGAAATTGTGAAATTATAAAATGAAAGTTATGAACATATAAACTTTGATAGTGCTAGCATAATAAAATGAAACAAAGGCAATCGATCAATAAGCAAGCTAAGCTAATTGTAAATCCTTCCTCATTATGTTATCATTAGAAATTGAGATAAATTGGAAAATGCTTAAAAACTTCCTACAGCAAAAGTCTTTTCCTCTGAAATTAATTAAGAAAACATAGATCTCTTTGAAAACTTCCAACTAGGAGTAATTTAAATATGATCACTCAATTGCAAATAAAATAATTAATGTATTAATAATTTCAATGTTATTATTATATTTGCTTATAGATTAACTTGTTTCAGTAGCTTGGTTAACATTTGAAACAGTAATTAAAGAACGAAAAATTCGGTCAGTCATCCAGGTGTGTTATTTTCAAATGTAAAATAAATATATGAGATAGCTTGGTGTTGGAGATGCAGAATATAAATTAAATTAATTTATATTATATGTATAAATAATTACTTTATATATAAGTAATTGGTTTATATATATATACACATGTACATACATTTTCAAGTGAATATTAAGTTTGTTAGATTTACACTTACTATTTCCACTAAGGAATTAAAGTTTAACTTGTATTAATGTTATATGTACATATAGTGAATATTCTTTCTTAGGAAATTTATTCAAAAGGAAACAAAGAGAAAAGATGATGTCGTTCTAATACAAATAATGACAATGTTAAAAAAAAAAGCAATAATCCAAACTCTATATTCCACAATACCAGGATACTTTGATACCTTTCTTATGTAGTATCTAGGAAAATATAATACCAAATAAAGAAAAGTTCAAGTAAGCATAAGGAAGGATTCTGAGAAAGCTTTTTAGGTTGCATACATCCCACAAAGCCAACAGAGCACCTTTCCCTAAATAATATGGCACATTTAAGGAAAAAAAGCTTCAAGTTGTATTTCAGAATCGATGTAGAGAAATTAAACCAGGTTGTAAGAACTGATGGTGAGGCTGTATTTGACATCAGGAAGATTCAAAGAAAATGGCCCTGAATTGTAAATTATATATATGAATTCTCATGAAAAGGACCATTATTGAGGCATAGTGGATAACTTTGGAGTTGTAAACTGACTTGAAATATATACTGTAAATATATAACTCTGTGTATATGTATTATATCTGTACAAATATGATCGTATGGCATACCTAAGTTCTTCGTACAACCTGGAGAATTACTAATAGCCAGTCACATAGTCCTTGTCTCTCCTTCACATTAATTCTCTCTATTTGCTTTTCTAGTTATTTGTCATCCCATTATTAAAAAAATCAACAAACTAAGAAATAATTACAGAAACTAGACAATATCACTTCAAGAAAAAAATAACAAAGGTAAAATAACAAACAAAGCTTCCAAAACTTCTGGAACTTTGTACAACAAATCAAGAGAAGTTAAGAATTTAGCCAAATGAATTGCTACTAATAATATAATAACAATAATGAGATAACCACACCACAAAATGAAGAACTAAAGAAGCTACAGGCCGGGCACGGTGGCTCACGTCTGTAATCCCAGCACTTTGGGAGGCCGAGGCAGGCGGATCACAAGGTCAGGAGATCGAGACCATCCTGGCTAACATGGTGAAACCCTGTCTCTACTAAAAATACAAAAAAATTAGCCAGGCATGGTGGCATGTGCCTGTAGTCCCAGCTACTCAGGAGGCTGAGGCAGGAGAATAGCTTCAACCCGGGAGGCAGAGGTTGCAGTGAGCTGAGATTGTGCCACTGCACTCCAGCCTAGGAGACAGAGAAAACTCCGTCTCAAAAAACAAAAACAAAAACAAACAAACAAAAAGCTGCAGAAGCTGACAGAAATACAGTTAGACAATATAAGGAAATAATTCCAAAGATGACAGAACTGAGGAAAAAGATGAAAGTGTAAAATAAAAACATCAGTAATGAAGGCTACATTTAAAGCAGTGTAGGAGAATAGACACTGTTGAAAACAATGTAAATGATATAAAGGACAGGATTACTAACCAGAAAAAGATAAAATGGATCACGGTAGAGTTAATTTAAGGAGAAAAGAAGCTCACAAGCCATACAAAGATGTTAGGTCATGTCCCACGAAGAGCGACCAAAGCAGTGAAACAAACAAAAGGAAATCATCAACCCTGTATAGTAGACAGCCCCCAAAGGTATCCACTTTCAAATCCTGAGGACATATGAATATATTATGTTACCCGGCAAGAAAGATTTTGCAGATATGATTAAGTTTATGAACCTTGAGATGGATAGATTGTCTCAATTGTCCAGTTGGGTCTGAATTAATCGTATGAATTCTTAAATGCACAGGACCATTCTGGGCTGTGGCTAGACAAAGAAAAATGAGGAAAGAGGAAGGGTCAGAGAGATGTGAGTTCCCAGCTTTAAAGATGAAGGAAAGCGTCATGAGCCAATTAATTAATTCAGGGATCTTCTAGAAGTTATAAAAAGCAAGAAACAAAGCACCCCCCAGATCCCCCAGAAAGCAGTGCATCTTTGCTGATGCCTTGATTTTAGCTCAATATTATCACTGTCAGACATGTGAGCTAATTTATATTCTGTAGTTTTGTGTTACTTTAACTTGCAAAGGTCATGAGAATGTGCATGATAGGGATAGAAAACCCACATACCATGAAGAAAACCAGACATTTCCAATGTTTGGAATATTGGCTAGTGAGCATATACTTTTCTACTTGAACAATAAATAATGCAGAAATTCAAGTAAAAGAAATCATGAATCTATAGATTGAAATGCCATACACCATCCCAGGAAAATGTGGTAGAGTAATCAAACTTAGTCATATCCTTGTCAGTTGCTTGCACTTCAAAGATAAAAAAAGAATTGTCAAGTACGTAGTTAAAATGGCATGCCACAAATTAAGATTTGAAAATTGGGTTGGTCCCAGAATTTTCCAAAGTAAAGTTATGAGTAGAAGAGAGAGAAACTTTTTTACAAAATTTTCAAGAAAGGAACCCTGCAGATAAATGGACAGATCACAGTGACTAACTGCCTCTAGTCTAAGAGGTTATCTAAAACCCAGTTTATTTGATCATATAATTCTACTGTCCCTTAGGGTGTTTTACTCATTTAAATGGTCAAATAGAATCATTCCTACTGTGTCAATATTGCAGCTTGCAAAAGAAAGAAGAAATAGAGGACAAGTAATTTTCTCTTTTGCATATGATCCAAATAAGTTGCTTATCTCCTTTCTGCATCCAAGAGCTCAGAATAAGTTAGGTGGCCACCATCATTAGATCCAAGGGAAGCTGGGAGTGCATTAGTGCTGTGTTGCCGTGTACTTATTTGAAACTTCACGATTTATTTATTTATTTATTTATTTATTTGGGACAGAGTCTTGCTCTGTGGCCCAGGCTGGAGTGCAATGGTGCGATCTTGGCTCACTACAAGCTCCGCCTCCTGGGTTCATGCCATTCTCCTGCCTCAGTCTCTCGAGTAGCTGGGACCACAGGTGCCCGCCACCACACCCAGCTAATTTTTTTTTTTTTTTGTATTTTTAGTACAGATGGGGTTTAACCGTGTTAGCCAGGATGGTCTCGATCTCCTGACCTCGTGATCCACCCATCTCCGCCTCCCAAAGTGCTGGGATTAAAGGCATGAGCCACCGCGCCTGGCTAAAACTTGATGATTCTATTTCAGATATGGTTTGGCTGTGTCCCCACCCACATCTCAACTTGAATTGTACTTCTATAATTCCCACATGTTGTGGGAGGGACCAGATGGGAGGTAATTGAATCATGGGGTTGGTTCCCCAATACTGTTCTCATGTAGTGAATAAGTCTTTATCAGCAGTGTGAAAACAGTAAATTGGTATCGGTAGAGTCGGGTGTTGCTGAAAAGATACCTGAAAATGTGGAAGCGACTTTGAAACTGGGTAACAGGCAGAGGTTGGAACAGTTTAGAGGGCTCAGAAGAAGACAGGAAAATGTGGGAAAGTTTGGAACCTCCTAGAGATTTGTTGAATGGCTTTGACAAAATTGCTGATAGTGACATGGACAATGATGTCTAGACTGAGGTGGTCTTAAATAAAGATGAGGAACTTGCTGGGAACTGGAGCAAAGGTGACTCTTATTATGTTTAAGCAAAGAGACTGGTGGTATTTTGCCCCTGCCCTAGAGATTTGTGGAACTTTGAATGTGAGAGATGATTTAGGATATCTGGTGGAAGAAATTTCTAAGCAGCAAAGCATTCAAGAGGTGACTTGGGTGCTGTTAAAAACATTCCATTTTAAAAGGGAAACAGAGCATAAAATCAGAAAATTTGCAGTCTGACAATGCAGTAGAAAAGAAAAAAAAACATTTTTTGAGGAGAAATTAAAGATGGCTGCAGAAATTTGCATAAGTAACAAGGAGCCGAACGTTAATTCCTAAGACAGTGGAAAAAATGTCTCCAGGGCATTTCATAGGTCTTCTTGGCAGCCCCTCCCATCACAGACCCAGAAGCCTGGAAGGAAGAAACGGTTTCATGGGCTGAGGCCTGGGTCCCCATGCTGTGTGCAGCCTAGGGACTTGGTGCCCTGCATCCCAGCCACTCCATCTGTGGCTGAAAGGGGCCAACATCAAGCTCAGGCTGTGGCTTCAGAGCATGCAAACATCCAGCCTTGGCAGCTTCCATGTGGTGTTGAGCCTTCAAGTGCAAAGAAGCCAAAAATTGATGTTTGTGATCCTCTGCCTAGATTTCAGATGTATAGAAATGTCTGGGTGCCTAGGCAGAAGTTCACACAGGGGCAGAGCCCTCATGGAGAACTGCTAGGGCAGTGTGGAAAAGAAATGTGGGATCAGAGCCCCTATGCAGAGTCCCTACCAGGGCACCACCTAGTGGAGCTGTGAGAAGAGGGCCACCGTCCTCCAGATCCCAGAATGGTAGATCCACCGAAAGCTTGCACCATGCACCTGGAAAAGCTGCAGACACTCAACGCCAGCCCATGAAAGCAGCCAGGAGGTGGGCTATACCCTGCAAAGCCACAGGGTGGAACTGCCCAAGACTATGGGAACCTACTTCTTGCATCAACGTCACCTGAATGTAAGACATGGAGTCAAAGTCATTTTGGAGCTTTAAAATTTGACTGGCCCACTGGATTTCAGCCTTGCACGCCCCGCCCCCACCAGCCCCTTTGTTTTGGCCAATGTCTCTCATTTGAATTGTTGTATTTACCCAGTGTTTGTGCCCCCATTATATCTAGGAAATAACTATCTTGCTTTTGATTATACAGGCTCATAGGCAGTAGGGACTTGCCTTGTCTCAGGTGAGACTTTGGACTATGGGCTTTTGAGTTAATGCTGAAACGAGTTAAGACTTTGGGGGACTGTTGGGAAGGTGTGATTGGTTTTGGAATGTGATTTACATGAGATTTGGCAGGGTCCAGGGGTGGAATGATATGGTTTGGCTCTATGTCCCCATCTAAATCTCATCTTGAATTGTACTACTATAATTCCCACATTTTGTAGGAGGAACCTGGTAGGAGATAATTGGATCATTGGGGTGGTTTCCCCCATGCTGTTCTCATGGTAGTGAATATGTCTCATGAGATCTGATGGTTTTATCAGGGATTTCTGTTTTTGAGTCTTCCTCATTCTCTCTTTGCCTGCTGCTATCCATGTAAGACAGGACTTGCTCCTTTTTGCCTTCTGCCATGATTGTGAGGCTTCCCCAGCCATGTAGAACTGTAAGTCCAATTAAACCTCTTTCTTTTGTAAATTGCCCAGTCTCAGGTATGTCTTTATCAACAGCGTGAAAGTGCACTAATACAATTTCTAAAAACAAAAGGAAACAAAACAAAAACAGCAGGCAAAAAAATTAGGAAGCAGTTAAAAATGTTTACCCTGGTATACTGACATTTCTATGTATGTCATTGTCAATAACTTTCTAAATAAACTACTACTTACTGAATCCATCTCATCATCCAAGTGCTTGGGGTAGGCCCTATACTTTTTAGCAAATCAAGATGATATGTCTTTTTATTTCCTGGTGATTGTTACACTAAAAATAGTTTGCTCTACCCAATATAAATTGGTGAAGTAGGAAGGATAATTACAAAAAGAAAAAAATGTGAAGAATGGAAAGCACACTGCAGTCAGTATTTCATAGTAGTTATGAATTACTTTACAGAAATTATAGAAACTCCCTTCTCTTTATGGAGAAATTTTCATGATTAGCACATTGGGCAACTCTTAATTCTCCCTTTGAAATTCTCTTGTGTGTTATCCTCCATGACCCCTGGATTTCCAATGAAGAAAAACCATTCTACTACACTATCCTCTTTGGCCCCATCTAAAGTGGGCAATGAAGTTTATAGACTGAAGTTTATGTATCTTTGGGGATACAGATATCCTCAGAGGATTTTGGTCTATTTGCTTGCCACGATATTAACAGCAGCTGATCACATCTGGTCACAATTCCTAAGACAGATCAGCTGAAATAGCAGGCATGGAGTGAATTGGGGAGAGCCGTACCATTCATCTCTTCTTTGGAGTTGAGCTGGCTCTCACTGTCTTTCACTTAACTGTAGGGTCTTGAAAAAAGACTCAATGACAATCCTATCTCCTGCTGTTTGGGCTCCAGAAGCCCTTGATTTTTCCAACTTTGAGGACCAACATTACCAAAAGTTCAACCAATTTAAATTGCAGGCCATAATCACAGAAATTTCCTCAGAGAGGTGTGGAATTCCCTTCCATTTCTACTAGCAAATTCGGATTTTTGCTAGAATCAATCAGTCTCTTGTATCACTCTGCTAGAAGCATCAAGGAGTACCAGTAATTGTAGTTTTTCTAATCACTTTTACAGAACTACAAGTTCAATAAGCCCATGTTCTGTGTTCTAAGTTATCACAGGTGACAGTCTTAACACCTGTAATTGCCAAGATGAAGATGACCAACTTTCTATTTTGCACTATGTATACTGCCTCTATGCCAACTGCTAAGCCAACAATGTGTATTTTAGACTTTTTTGTTATAATAGCACACGCTTCCAATTATCAATTTTATATATTCATGGAGTATAAGTTAAGCCTCTGTAACAAAGAGTTCCAACACAGGACAGCCATTTCTTTATTTTTATGTAATGGCACAGAGGATAATTTTTAGTCCAGAGTGAGTAGAAAACTCTGCTCCACAAAGACATCTAGGTTCTTTCAATATTTCTAGCTTGTGAAACACTCCCTAAGTTGTATCCCTAGTATGCATCACCAAGTGGCTCAATATCTCTGCCTTCTAGCCTGCAGAACTGAAGATGTGAAGGGCAATCTTCTTCTTAAGGTGGTGCCTATAATCTATGCATATCATTCCCACAGGACTCACTGTCCATAATTAGTTGTAATGCCAAACCTCTTTGCAAACTAAGCTGAGAATGTGCTGGCACTAATTCAGTATTTTTACTATGAAGAACAAAATTTTACAAGGGAAAAGAAGGCAGCTTCTGCTTGACATCAAAAAACAATGGAATTATTGACTTTTTACTATGTTCCAGAAACTATTGGATTAACCACTGGCTTTACAAGAACTTAATTTATTAACAGCTGAATAATAGAAATAAAATATTCAAGTAAAAGTGTCTAAGTGGCACATGTAAATAATATAAATTAAAATTTATTAAATTATTCACTATATCATAGAACAAAAATCTTGTATTATTCATATCAATTACTTGTTTCCAAAATGTCAATTTACTTTTATAATATGGTCTCTAATTCAAGTACTTTACTTTTTAAACATTTTATGATATGTATCTCTAAGTAAAAATATATAAAAATAACATCTGAAATATATAAAATAAAGAAATAAGTCATATGTAGTACTAGTTATTGCTTTTCTGAATAAAAAATAAATACAAGATTAGAGTAAAAATGTAAAGATTCAAGATAATGTTTAATTTTAGACTAATTTATAAATACAAATTATAACATTCTGTGTGTCTTTACCATTTTTACACAAATAAAGTTACCTTAAATTTTACTCTAGACTTTTATTTTTAATATTGCTTTAATTACTGACTTTTCTGTAAATGTATTTTTTTTTTTTTTTTTTTTTTTTTTTTAGTTTACTTGCTTCTGAGCTAATTTGATAGCAAAAAACAGGTTCTTCATTTTGGTAGCACTAGTTTTTGCCATCATAAACAAAATGGGATCATATATGATCATGTTAAGAGCTCAAGGTAAATTCCTTTGTCCCAAATGTTTGATAAGAAAATGAATATATCTTAAATTTAATTACCCTGTCATGTGAATTATATAATAATTGAATTCATAACTTCAGATTAAAGATTTATGATTATATATAAAATATTTGCTTATATTTAGTATATGACTACATTTATAGAGACAAAATACAATTAGCATTTCATATTTATGTGCTTAAAGACTCATTTCTAATCTTGTTTTTTTAATTTTATTACTTTTATAATCAATTTTTATGATAGTTTTCAGAGAAATGACACATTTTACTTTTCTATTTGTTTGAAAGTTTTTTTTTAATCATATGTGATGGTTGCTACTGAGTGTCAACTTGATTGGATTGAAGTATAGAAAGTATTAATTCTGGGTGCATCTGTGATGGTGTTGCCAAAGCAGATTAACATTTGAGTCAGTGGGCTGGGAAAGATAGAGCCACCCTTAACTGGGTGTGCACCATCTAATCAGCTGCCAGCAAATATAAAGCAGGCAGAAAAACGTGAAAAGGAGAGATGGGCCTAGCCTCTCAGCCTACATCTTTCTCCTGTGCTGGATGCTTCCTGCCCTCAAACATCAGACGTCAAGTTCTTCAGTTTTGAGACTCTGGCTGGCTCTCCTTGCTCCTCAAGCACGCAGACAGCATGTTGTGGGATCTTGTGATCATGTAAGTTAATAATTAATAAACTCATATATATTTATATTTTATATATATATACAGACATACATATATGTATATGTATGTGTATGTGTGTGTATATATATATAGACATATATATACACACATACACATACATAGTCCCTGGCTAATACAGATTTTGGTATAAGGAGTGGTTCTAGAGGAACAGAATATTAAGGATGGAGTTCTTTTTTTGGTTTTGGGGTTTCTGGAGTTGGCTTCTTAATATTATTAGACCCCAAAATGCTGAGGACTCTACCTAATAGTATGGAGAACACTGATAGTCCTTGGCATAAAGTGTTTACAGAGTTATGCAAAATAAACACATTTGACACTCCTGATTCACCACTTGTGAGAGACAAGGAGTTTAGTTACTCTATCCATAATACCTTTGACCACATGTGGAGAATCAAGGAACATAATGAAACTGGTAGCTTGCTCCTAAGTTCAGTGGACAAAGTGATTAAAGAAAATGATGAACTCAGGGATTCTGTCTCCCGGCTTCAGAAGCAGATACTGAGCCTTAAAACTGCTAAGACTGCACTGAGTGAGAGTTTTATCTCCTGTAGACAAAGAGCTGAAACTTTGGAAAAAGAGACACAAGCTCTTAACACATGAGGGGCTGACCTGCAATGAAAGGTGCATGCACAGCCTCACCAGGTGTCTACTGTTAAAAGGAGGGCATTACTGGAAAAGAATGTGACCCTGCAACTTGGAATGGGGAAGTATGGGAAGACCCTGATGAAACTGGGGCCACTGAGTTTGTAAACTCTGATGAACCTTATTTGCCTGAAGGAACAGCTTCACCGTCCCCTGTAGTGGCAACATCCCCTCCTAGACCCATGCTGCCATCAGCCTTTACACCTTTGTCTGAGGAGATAAACCCTGTGCTGCCTGAGGCAACAGTGAGGGCCTTCCCTGGGGCAGTTACCAGGCAAAATAATGTTGATTCTCCCCAGGAACCACCCCCAAAACCCCTGTTTGCTTCTAGTTATCTAACTAAAGTCCTGGCAGGTCCCTTGAGGTGAGGTTGCATGCTACACTTGAAAAGAACTGTTAATTTATGTAAACAGAAACCTGGAGAACAGGCATCAGAATGGATATTAAGGTTATGGGATAATGGTGGAAGGAACATAGAGTTGGGTCAGGCTGAATTTATTGATTTGAACCCACTAAGTAGGTACTCTGCTTTTAATGATGCAGCTCAGGGAGTTAAAAAAGTTTCTAATACTTTGTCTGCCTGGTTAGCTGTCCATAAGGCCTACCAGAAGCAATTTGCCTTTAGCTGGCAAGCCCAGCAATATGCCTTTACCCCTGAGGGGTATACCTTTACCTCAGAGGTATATCAACTCTCCAGCTTTGGGTCATAATCTTATTTGGAGAGAACTTGATTGCTTTTTGTTTCCACAACATATCACTCTGGTCCATTACATTAATGACATTATGCTGATTGGATACAGTGAGCAAGAAGTAGCAAACACACTGGACTTATTGGTGAGACATTTGTGTGCCAGAGGATGGGAAATAAATCTCACTGAAATTCAGGGACCTTCTACTTTAGTAAAATTTCCAATGGTCCAGTGGTGTGGGCCCTCTTGAGATATTCCTTCTAAGGTGAAGAAAAAGTTGCTGCATTTTGGCCCCTCCTACAAGCAAGAAAAAGGCACAACGCCTAGTGGGCCTATTGGATTTTGGAGGCAACACATTCTGCATTTGGGTGTGTTACTCCCACTCATTTATCAAGTGACCCAAAAGGCTGCCAGTTTTGAGTGGGGTCCAGAAAAGGAGAAGGCTCTGCAACAGGTCCAGGCTGCTGTGCAAGCTGCTCTGCCACTTGGGTAATATGACTCAGCAAATACAATGGTGCTTGAGGTGTCAGTGGCAGATACGGATGCTGCTTGGAGCTTCTGACAGGCCCCCATAAGTTAGTCACAGCAGAGGCCTCTAGGATTTTGGAACAAGGCTCTGCCATCTTCTGCAGATAACTACCCTCCTTTTGAGAGATGGCTGTTGGCCTATTACTGGGCTTCGGTGGAAACTGAACATTTGACTATGGGTCATCAAGTCACCATACGACCTGAACTGCCTATCATGAACTGGGTGCTTTTTGACCCATCTAACCATAAAGTGGGTCATGCACAGCAGCATTCCATCATCAAATGGAAGTGGCTATATATATGATCAGGTTCGAGTAGGTCCTGAAGACACAAGTAAGTTACATGAGGAAGTGGCTCAAATGCCCATGGTCTCCACTCCTGTCACCCTGCCTTCTCTCCCTCATCCTGCACTGAGGGTCTCATGAGGAGTTCCCTATAATCAGTTGACAGGGGAAGAAAAGACTAGGGCCTGGTTCACAGATGGTTCTGCACGATATGCAGGCACCACCCAAAAGTGGATAGCTGCAGCACCACAGCCCCAAGGTAGGACATCCCTGAAGGATGCGGTGAAGGGAAATCTTCCCAGTGGGCAGAACTTCAAGCAGTGCACCTGGTTGTGCACTTTGCATGGAAGTAGAAATGACCAGATGTGCGATTACATGTTGATTTATGGGCTGTAGCCAATGGTTTGGCTTAATGGTCAGGTTCTTGGAAGAAACATGATTAGAAATTTGGTGACAAAGAAATTTGGAGAAGAGGTAGGTGGATGAGCCTCTCTGAGTGGTCAAAAACTGTGAAGATATTTGTATCCCATGTGAGTACTCACCAATGAGTGACCTCAGGGGAGGAGGGTTTGAATAATTAAGTGGATACGATGACCCGTGCTGTGGACACCACTCAGCCTCTTTTCCCAGCCACCCCATCATCACCCAATAGGCCCTTGAAGAAAGTAGCCATAGTGGCAGGGATGGAGGTTATGCATGGGCTCAGGAACATGGACTTCCACTCAACAAGGCTGACCTGGCTACGTCTACTGCTGAGTGCCCAATTTGCCAGCAGCAGAGACCAACACTGAGCCCTCGATATGGCACCATTCCTTGGGGTGATCAGCTAGCTACCTGGTGGCAGGTTGATTATATTGGATCTCTTTCATCAGGGAAAGGGCAGAGGTTTGTCCTCACAGGCATAAACGATTACTCTGGATACGGATTTGCCTAACCTGTACACAATGCTTCTGCCATGACTACCATTCATAGACTCACGGAATGCTTTATCCACCATCATGGTATTCCACACAGCATTGCCTCTGTCCAAGCCACTCACTTTATGACTAAAGAAGTGTGGCAGTGGGCTTATGCTCATGGAATTCACTGGTCTTACCATGTTCCGTATTATCCTGAAGCAGCTGAGCAGCTGGATTGGTAGAACAGTGGATGACCTTTTGAAGTCACAATTACAATACTATGTTGAATAAGAGTGGTGAGAGAGGGCATCCTTGTCTTGTACTGGTTTTCAAAGGGAATGCTTCCAGCTTTTGCCCATTCAGTATGATATTGGCTGTTGGTTTTCATAGATTTTGTTATTTTGAGATATATTCTATCATTACCTATTTTATTGAGGGTTTTTAACGTGAAGTTAAATGATGTTAAATCATTTAACTTAAACCATGATGTTAAACTTTATCAAAGACCTTTTCTGCATCTATTGAGATAATCATGGGGTTTTTGTCTTTGATTCTGTTTATGTGATGGATTACGTTTATTGGTTTGCATATGTTGAAGCATCCTTGCATCCCAGGGATGAAGCCGACTTGATCGTGGTAGATAAGGTTTTTTTGATGTGCTGCTGAATTGTTTGCCAGTATTTTGTTGAGGATTTTCTCATCGATGTTCCTCAGGGATATTGGCCTGAAGGTTTTTGTTGTTGTTGTGTCTCTTCCTGGTTGTAGTATCAGGATAATGCTAGCTTCAAAAAATGAGTTAGGGAGAAGTCCTTCCTTTTCAATTGTTTGGAACAGTTTCAGAAGGAATGGTACCAGCTCCTCTTTGTATTTGTGGTAAAATTCAGCTGTGAATTCGTCTGGTCCTGGGTTGTTGTGGTAGTTTTTTTTTTGGGGGGGGGGGTGGTTGGCAAGCTATGAATCACTGCTTCCATTTCAGAGCTTGTTATTGGTCTATTCAGGGTTTCAACTTCTTTCTGGTTTAGTCTTGGTAGAATGTATGCGTCCAGTAATTTATCCATTTCTTCTAGATTAGATAGTTTATTTGCGTAGAGGTGTTTATAGTATTCTCTGATGGTAGTTTGTATTTCTGTGGGATCAGTGGTGATATGCCCCTTATCAGTTTTTATTGTGTCTATTTAATTCTTCTCTCTCTTATTCTTTATTAGTCTAGCTAGTGGCACAGTACAGTTTTTATCTAAAATAACGATACAAAAATTAGCTTAATTTTGCTAAACAAGTATATAAAACAACCTTTTTTTAAAGTAATTTCTCTAATGCTTTTACCAGAGGAACATGTTTTTATTTATTTTTATCTATTTATGTTTATTATTTATTTATTTGAGACTGGGTCTCACTCTGTTGCCCAGGCTGGAGTGCAGTGGTGCAATCTCAGCTCACTGTAACCTCTGCCTCTTGGGTTCAAGTGATTCTCATGCCTCAGTCTCCAAAGTAGCTTGGATTATGGGCATGTACCACCACACCCAGCTAATTTTTGTATTTTTAGTAGAGACAGCATTTCACCATGTTGCCCAGGCTGGTCTTGAACTTCCAGCCTCAAGTGATCCACTCACCTCTGCCTCCCAAATTTCTGTGATTACAGCAATGAACCACCACACCCAGCCAATTTTTAGTTTTTCAATTTGTCTTCTTTCAGGTGGCAAAATCTGCCTACTTCCTTTGTCTCCTATAAGCGATGATAACCATCCCATCTATCCAACACCACCCACCAAAAACGGAAGCGATTTTTTTGTTTCGCTAGATCCACAGTCCCTTCTTAGTTTTTCTTGTATTTATTTCTTTCTTTTTAATGTCAGTTTTCTCCCATAGTTCAATGAAAAAGGCAGGGGTTTTTGAAAAAATGAGTAACTGACCTCTTTCTTACTGAC
The DNA here is from genome assembly GCF_000001405.40 of Homo sapiens. Classification (NCBI taxonomy): domain Eukaryota; kingdom Metazoa; phylum Chordata; class Mammalia; order Primates; family Hominidae; genus Homo; species Homo sapiens. Next base: position 23,809,491 of record NC_000005.10, read on the forward strand.
CCAGGTGATCACCCTCACCTAATTCTTGAGCTATCTGTTGCCATTGAAATAGGGTCAATCTTCTCTAAACAGCAATTTCTTTAAAAATAATTTCTCCATCATGCTTGTAAAGTATCTATATCTTAACTGTCTAACACATTTATTAGCACAGTTTTAGCAAACAGTATCACCAAAAACATCTATTAGAAAACTCATAGGTGATGACCAAATAGCTAGAGAACAGCATCGTAACACATGAAGTGAAGAAAAAACAGGGGACAGACAGAAAGACATGAACTCTCTCCAGACAGACGTCAGGAGGACAGATAGGGACCTAGAGGCTTGGAAACCTTGCTGACATAAAGGTAACTGGCCTTAAATCCAAAGAACTGATACGACCTTAGTAGTACTGTCTCATAATAAAACAAGGTTATGTCTAAACATAAGGACATATACATTTCTATAGTAGAAATATGTACTATGTTTAGTAATCTGAAAGTTTAAATATCATTTTAAATTGGTACATAAACAGAAAAAGTTTAAATTTTGGAGTTAAAAGATAAATATAATTTCGATTATTTTTAATGCTGAAAGACGATTATATACTGATATTACTTAAACATAACAAATAGATATTTATGTGGCTGTAGTAATTATTCAAATAGAAAATGCAGTCAATCATACTATATATAATATATAATATGTATTTTCAGTGACCATAGAAGTATTTAAATGGCAGTTCATCATCATAACCACAACTTCAATGAAATTGCCTAGAAACCTATACAGTAACCATCTCGTGCATGTTCCACATATAATCTGAGCTTTTACAACATGACTCCTATGTAACTAGTATCATAATCATAATCAAAATTATATGCTCTGGCATTAATATAGACTGAATGTTTGTGTCCTCACCTCCTGCTCTCCACCATATGTTGAAGTCTTGACCCTCAGTGTGGTAATACTTGGAGATGAGGCCTCTAAGGAAATAATTAAGATTAAATGAGGTTATAGGAGGAGATGGGGGTGAGGAGCATAAATCCAGATCCAATGGAATTAGTGTCCTTTAAAGAAGAGACATCAGAGAGCTGGCTTGTTCTATCCATGCGAAGATTGTGAAAAGGCCATATAAGGATGTAACAAGAAGGGGGACATATACAAGCTGGAAAGACAGCCCTCACAGAAATGGCACTGCAAGATCGGATTTCCAGCCTCCAAAATTGTGAGAAAATAAATTTCAATTGTTTAAGCTACCCATGATGACAACAACATGGCTCTCTTTAACAATCAAATATTAATATTAATACATGCAACAACAGTATAAAATTATGCAAAAGTTATTGAAGTTTTAAAATTTAAATGTGGAGGAGAAAAAAAAAAACATATCCAAACATCCTTAAGATACCGTCTACAGGCTCCCCACTGTAAATCACAATAAATCCATAGGAGCTGCTAATATATACTATTTAAATATACAAATGATATCTTTTCTAGTAAATAGTTCACATATTAAAATAGTTTTCTACCTTATTTGCGTATGTATATAAAACACTTATGACAAAGATTTGAAGATAATATTTGCTTGTGCTTAAGATAATTTAAGCATTGCTGTGCATATTTTATTAAATTCCTCTGCTAATGCATCTTCAGTATGATGCAAAAACTCTAGGTAACTTACATGCTTGTATATATACATGCTTGAATATGTAGTCACTTTGAAAATCCGGAAATATGAAATAATGCTTCAGGGAACTCCATGTATGTCATGAATTTGATGAATTTTAATCCAAATTTACTTTGAAATACTCACACAATATTCATGTGTCTGTGATACAGTTTTTAATGCCTACAAATAAGAAGTAGAAGAAAATTAGTTTTTTAACTAACGATATTGACAATCTTACTTTTAAGGTGATTGAGCCCTGCATACCGTGAGATTCTAACTATTCTGATAATGTAATGTGAATCTGATTATTGAATTTTATTTGCACTCTTTGAGCATTGAAAACTAATCACAGTAATCCAAGTCTGTGCTGTTTATTTTTCCCTTAAAACACAAGGAAGTCAGGATAACATAGAGTTGTCTCTGTTGCTTAGTATTTTCTCCCTTCCTCTGACCCCATTTAAAAATGTTTGTTCCTGACTTTGTAAATACTAATATTCGTTGTCTGATAACAGGATATAATTCTACAAACAGTACAAAATTAGAACAGTAATAATACCATTGTCCTCTTTTATGAGGTAATAATTTGATTCCTACTAAATGAAAATAAAGACAATCTAATAAAACTAAGAATAAATGCTCAGAAAAATAATTATATTTATTATTTCACTGTCCTTACTTAGAGAATTTCTCTTCTGAAGGGGGCTTCCTAAGAAAGAAGTCTTGATGAAGGATTTGTAAATATAATTAGTAAACATCTCCAATGACAAAAAATGGTCTTTTCAACCTTCAAAGGAATTTTACTATCTCCAAGGTTGTTAAGGTTAGTCCCAATTGTCCCTTTGTTTTATTTAGTCTCAACTATTGCCGTAACTCCAGAGAAGTAGTGCCTGATTAGCAGTAGTTAGAGAAAGGAATCAATTTACGTTATCTCCTCAGTTTAATAAGCATAACAATTCTAATCACAGCTTCTCTGCTTGTTGCTTCTCCTTAAGTTTTAGAATGTAATATAGACAATGTTTCTACGAGGTCGTAATGAGGACAGATATAGTAATTATAGCACCATATTAAATTTTTAGAAACTTTCTGGGAACTAGAGATAAAACATTGAAGGGGGAATAAAACAAAAATCTCTGCTTTTATTTTTAGGGGGTGAAAGGATAGAGATATTTATGAAAATAAATATTATTTATCATATTAAAATATAATAAATGCTATATAAAAAATAAGGCAGTGGAAAGAATAAAGATTTCTGAGAAAGAGTTTTAATTTCATATTGGTTGTCCAGTGAAGGCTTCACATTTGATAGGTGAGCACATGCAGTCTTTCCCCTCTCTGGCTTTCAACTTCTTTTTATAGATCTGTTCCTATAATACCCAAACTCCAATAACTCTTTGCTATGAACAGGAGTTCTAATCATTGAACATCAAAATATTTTTCTATTTTTCGACTTCCTATCACTTATGTGATGATTTATATTCTTTCAAAGTTTGATTTTCATGAAAACCATAAGACTCTCCTTTTATTATAATATTCTGTCAACTCCTGTGCTGCTGAGTTGCTTTTTTTTGCTCTTACTTGGAAAAGCTTTAATCCTGATTAAATTCAACTAACTTGCTATTCCTTTGCTATCATCCATTCAGCTGAAAGTGGTTGGAGAAAACACACACACACACACACACACACACACACACACACACACACACACACGAGAGAAACTGGTCTCATATTCAATTTATGACTATGTCCACAAGAGGGCTCACTTCTTTTTTTGGCTTGTAAACTAAATTTCTATCTATTTGAAGCTATGTCACACCTATCTACCCATTTGTAACTGAAAATAGTAATAAAAAGAAAACAGACAATTTGAGTGTTCTTCATTCCGTGAATATCTCAATTTTGTAAGCTCTTTTTAAAATTCACTTTCCTGTAATGTGTCTGCTCACTGTGTATTTTATAGATTGTTGATTTCCCATTAGAATGATAAATTTGGTCTCTGTTCACAGTGATTGGTATTTCATGTTAATTAATGAAGATGAGAATACTCATTTACTGAATAATATTATGATATTTAAAATGATTTTTAAAGTGTATTTGGAAACTGATATACAAGTTATACATATTTTAGATGATGGGATAAAATATTTCATAATAGCTCATAATTATAATATCTCTACATTATATCTCTGCCATTTCTAAAGTTTCATTTTATTTTATTTTTTGAGACAGAGCCTCACTCTATCATTTGGGCTGGATTGGATTACAGTGGTACAATCACAGCTCACTGCAACCTTGAACTCCTGGCCTCAAGCAATCCTCCAGTGTGGGCCTCCAAAAGTGCTTGGATTACAGGTACAAGCCACTACACCTAGCCTGTCTCTAACATTTAAATTTAAATTTAAAATATCCCTGATACTATTATTTAAACATTTGTTAGTGAAGAATGATTTCTTAAAAGTTTGAGATTAAAAAATAAGGAATGACTATATTCACTGATAAGATCTTTTTACATTTCTAAAGAAAGATTTTTTATATATATAATCAACATATTTTTATGTTTTTGAAATTATCTTACTATGGAAGTAAGAATCCAGAAGGCAGGAATATTCTTCTCATTTATAACTATGACATTATTCAATGGAAAGCATAAGGTAAATCTTTAATCTCCTTGTTAGGGAAGAGACAGTATATCAGAACAGAATACTAAATATGTAATTTTGATAGATTGAGTAGGATTAATAGCTAGTCAAGGAAACCCTGTGTGTTTGCACATTTAGCAGATCATCTGAGCTATTAGAAAGTTTCATGTAATATATCATTTACTTAACTTGTCAACTCTAAAACTTTTTCAGCGAAATCATTTAACTCTCAGTAATAATGAAGAATGAAGAAGAAAGTACAAATAGATCAGATGGTAAATTATTAACATATGCCTATGTGAAGTCAGCTTTAGGGCTACTATACATCTTTGTTATGGGGTACATGAGAGAGAACAAATTCCATGCTAATGTCTCATTCAACCTCTGTTCAGTGTAGCTCTTTTTTGATAACACACAGTTTACTTATTCTAAAAGTTGATAAAGGCTCATGCATACAATAAGAACAAAAGTGTCTTAATTGGACTATCAATTCGAGTTGGGAAAGGAGAAACCTGGTTGGGCGCTTGGATTAAAAATATTTGTGAAAGACTCTAATAGGAAGGCAAGATGAGAGGATAATGATAAATATTACTAAGATAAAATAGATAAATTGCAAATTTTCTGCCATGTGTACAATGCTTATAAGCCTTGGGGTGAGATTGGTCTGTGTTATTGGCCAGAAATGTCTAGTATATGTTTCTTCTCCTCTGTCTATTGAAGCATCCATATTTCATCAGCTCTTCTTAAACAAATTTCTACCCTTTGCTTGTTGGTTAAAAAAAAACGACAGTACAGTTTAGACTCTATGAGCATAGACCCTGATACCAGAGTGCCCGAGATAGTTTCCTCATTCTATTGTCTTGGTAAGTTCCTTAAATTTCCTTTACTTCAATTTCCTCCTTTGTAAAATGGACCTAATAAGAATTTCTACTTTATAGATTATTACAGTGATATTAAATAAGCTTCTATTTGAACACACCATAATCATTTTTGGCAAGAGGTATACTTTTTTAAAAAATCCTATTTTGTTCCTTCAAAAAAATGTAAAATAAGAAATTATTCTTTATTTTTTACTAATTTGAAAGTCTGTTACAGAGATTACAAATCCAAGCTATTTCAGGAGAGCTGGGCAGGTTCTGGGACAAGAAGTACCAACAAGGTATATTATTTTCCAGCACCAACAACCTGGTAGGAAGTCCTTAATCTGTGGCTCCATCAGAGTATTGTCTAACACTGTGCCCCACGAGCCCAGAAATTAGAAAGCATGTGATATTAGATGTGGTGCTCAGGGCTTTTTCACTACATGCTGACTTCAGTCAAGAACAAGTCAAGGTAATTTCCTCCATCTCATGGACATTTACTTCATGAGTATTGGAGACAAATAATTCCTGTAGTTAATAAGTGAGTTCATGTTCTAGCAGTCAGGGAGAATGACACACAGACCAAAACATGCAGTCACTAGTGGAATCTTCAACCTTGTTAAGTTCCAGGAGGCAGTCCTGTCCTTTTGCAGCTGAAGTCCCGTTTAATATAATCCAGACAAACTTCCAGGTTACTGGTCCACCAAGACACATATGTGCTGCAAATTGGGGATTCTAATTATTTAAAACATTTTGATTTGAATACATTAAAATGGATTTAATGAATACATTAAATGGATTCAAATCCATTTAAACAGTCAAGGAAATTGGGGTGCACTTGGTCTCTCAAGTCACCCACTTGGCCCTCTTCAAAGTGTACTTTCCTTCCTTTCTTTTCCTTATTTTCCTTACTGCTTTAAAGCTTTTTAATAAACTTTCACTCCTGGACTGAAAAAAGAAAAAAGGAAAGAAATTGAAATATTGCAGTTGCTCATAGAAAAGTACAGAGCAGGGAGACAGACCAAGATGGCTGAATAGAACCCACTGGAGATTGTACCCCAACAGAACGCCAAATTAAACAACTCTCCACCCAAGAAAGCACGTTGAGCAGAACAAAAAAACCAGGTGAGGGATCATATTACCTGATTTTAACATAATATCAAGGAAAGAGGCAATGAAGAGTGTGGGAAAGACAGTCTCTTTGCCAACATTGCTTCTCTCCTACACTGTGTCAGTGCCTGGTGGGGAGAGAATCTGTGTGCTTGGGGGAGGGAGAGTAAAGTGAGTGTGGGGCTTTGCTTTAGAACTCAGCGCTGCTCTGTCACAGCAGAACACAACCCAAGGCAAAATTCTGCCAGTACTCAGGAAAACAGCATTTAGAACAGTTCCCTTTTTTCTGAGTCCACATTTTACAGTCCCTAAGTTCCTGTGAAAGACTATAACTTTAATATCTACAGCCTTTTCTGGGTTCTAAAAACTATTCTTCCCCTTGGCCTTTCAGACGTAGCAGTGGTAACAGCTTCATAATGTTTCTCAATTTAGGTACTTTTGCACCCTGTATAGTTCTCCTTAACCCTGTCAGTACCTTTAAAACACTCTGCTTATTAAGCCTGGTGGCAGCATGACCTTCTTACTTTGATGGCCCTATACATGATAAAACCTGTGTGCTATATACCCCATTATATTTTTAATTATATTTAAGATGAAAATATTAAAAATTATATAAATATTTATATATGCTTCACTCATAATGTAGATCTAAATCTACATTCAAAAACACAACAATAAATAAAGTTGGAAGTTATCTACAGAGTAAATGGACAATAGAGTGGGTGGGAGCAGAAGTATTTGGACAATTCCAACATATACTTTGTATTTTCATTTGATGCTTAAAATATATAAAATAACTACCTGTACAAAATAAACTAAATAAAATTAGCACAATTATTAATGGCATTAAGATGTTTTAATTTCAAAGGTGAACCTCATTTTTTGTCCTAAATAATGAAACTATTATTAGTTTACTAAATTAATCTATAGTTTTTGTCGATCATGTTTCCTACTTTTCATTCTGTCACATTTTGAGAAACCAAGGCCTTCCTCTTTCTTACCTTATCACTAGGCAGAGATTTTAATATGATTTCAAGACAAAAAGGAGACTAAGGATGGGAGAAATTTCAGTGCAGCAATATATGGATAGAGGAAATGGTTTGATGTTTTCCTATTTTGACTTAATTTTGGTTCTATTTTCATTTTACAAAGGATGCATGATTTCCCAAGGCTCAAGAGAACTGCCTGGTATAAACATTTGCAAACACTAGTCTCATTATCTAGGCTTTACGGGAGACAGATGAAAGGTGATCTGAGTATAATGTATTGTCTCTGCTCAGGGGCTCAGGGTAAGATCACTGGGAGGAATCTGGGTCCTGCCAGGCTGCATGTAGGTGCTGGAAACAAAGAAAATAATGTTTACTGACAGTGATTCTGAGATGCAATGATCCAGCCATCTATGCTTATGAGACACAATTGCTGTTACTTATGTGATCAATATAGGAAACATTCAATTTTACACACCCTAACATCATACAGTAAATATTTAATTTAGGAAGCAAGTTTCTGGGTATTGTCTACTGTCTTTTGTAACAGATAGGGAAAGTGTCAATTTGTAAAAACTCTTTACCCCATTGATTAGGAATTTATTATATAGGAATAAGTTTTCTATTTTATTTAGAATTCTTAATGGTGCAAATAAGGATGCTTCAGTCTTTCATCCTCAATAAAAAAACATCACTGAACTTCATGAAAGCAAAGGCCTCATCTCCCATGATTTTTAAAAATTATTTTTGAACTCAAGATAAGTATATACTTATAGGGAATAAGTTGAGTTTTAAAAATATGCTGCTTCTTCTTAATACTCTTCTCATGTTATTATTGTCATCTAAATATTTCCTATAATTTGTATATCTTAATCCCAAGAGTCCCAGCAAGACATATTACTTTCCCTAAGCGGCATCTCCAGGAGTAGTGTGTGGATTGTGGTGGGTCCACAGAGCCAATAGCCAGAGCGGTCAATCAATATACAAAGACATAAGTGGCAAATTTTCAGAGCCACCACAAATTGATTTTACTGTGTTTCCTCAGTCAGTATTACATTCTCTAATGATATAGCCTTCTTATAGGTTTTAGTATGCCACATAAAATAGTATCTCACAGTGTTTTACTCCATCCAAGGATATAAAATACTGTCGTTGAGAAGGCTTATTAAAGTAGCCATCATGCCAACTCCAAAATGTATGCTTATTCATCTGACATAAACCATATCTACAGAACACGAAACCTTGCACAGTTGTTTCTAAATCATTGTAGAAGTGAAACAAATAAATCAGCCCAGAAAATTCCAAGGCTAGCAGTTTGTTTTCTCCCTCTTTATTTTCCCTACACATCTTAGATATTTCAGATTGGAAAATATAATTCAATCAAATTGTTAAAAGGTTAATATGTTTATTACTATTACTCTAATCATGAATCTTTAGTAGTCATCAGAAACATTTCATATTTTTATTCATCAAATCTCAGGTTTAAAGTGAGTTGGGTTGTTCCTTTTTTACATTATTTTCCTTAAAAGGATCGTATCAAAAATCAGTATGTTACACTGCAATTATCTTATTTGACTAAAGCACTGTTAAAAGATATGAATAATTATTTTAAGAATATTAATCAAAATATTTGTATTGAAGATATCAAAGGGAAATGTTCCACAATTGAAAGCAAAGTATGGGGAAAATTATCTCGCATATGGCTGAATATTATTGCTTATTTGTCCTACATATTTAAAACTAGAAGGACATATTATGCAATTCCAGCAGGCAATTGAGTCAGACTACCTAGATTTAGATGTAAAATTTACAAATTTCTAGTTTAGTGACCATGAGTAAGGCATCCCTCTGGACCTTAGTTTTCTTATTTGCAAAATAGGTGATGTAATATAAACCACCACATAAACTCATTGAGGAGACCAGTTAGCATGCATACCATTTTATAGAGCCCTGCCACTGTTTTGTTTTTGGCTTAAAAAATTGTTAGTTTAATATTTGATATACAACGCTATTTTTGTGTCACACAGAATATGTGAATGATTAACCTCATGGAATAACAATTTATAACACTGCCATTCTGCCAATGGTGGATAATTACAACGAAAGTTCATCCATTGTTCCAGAACAAATTATTGCAGTGTATGATATTTAAGAATAAGTAGAAAGAGTGAAATCATTATCTCTAATGTTGTTTTTAAAACTTCCAAGATTTTGATAACACTGTGAATCTGAGAATAACTGGCAAGTAGAATACATTAAACCTATAACAAGGGTTCTTAGTGGAGTTGTGGAAATAACTATTCTATTATAGGCTTTGCTGATCCTATAGGAGAACAAATAGCCAACATTTAAAGGTTCCATAGAGAGAACAATCTAGCACTTTGGCCCACCTGGATATATTTCTTCCTATGAAGCTACACATATTATTAATACTAGCATACAGAAATGGGCAAAGAAACATAGTATTACATGAATATAGTATATTCCCATCACCCTCAATGCAGTGATCTTATGGAAAGTTTGAATAAACAATTAAGTCATGTGTTCTTTAATTCAGGAGGTGAGAAAGGCTTGAAAGCTGCAGTACAAATGTGTTCTCCTGTTGCAGGTGAAAGAAGAAAAGAAAGAACACTACTGGAAAGCTTTTGGAATTTCTACATAGGTATACGTGATGACATTAATAGAATTATGCAACTTTATTACCTCCCATATTTCTTGAAAACTTTTATTTTGTTTTGACTGAGTTGATGTTTAAGCATTGTGGCTACACTCAGCCAGTAGGAGAAGTCACTGCAAAAGACATGAATCTATACCATTGAATTTGGCTTGTGCGTTCTTAAAAGAACCTTGGGGTCACTTATAACGTGTTCCCTTGCAGTTAAAATAGCGTTAGTTGTGACTACATTAGCAAACGGAAGGACAGTTGTGCAATTTTTACCTGTCAAATCCTATGATACTTTCCAGGGGATGAAGCAGAGGAGAGATCATACCGATGTTGTTACGGTTTGCTGAGTAAGTAATACTGCCAAAGCAGGCTATTTCGTCAGGGCGAGTTAAATGAGGTAATAAATGGAAACTGATGGAGCTTATGACAAATGTGAAGAAGACACACAAGATTTTCTCAAAGAAATACAGTCATTCTTGTCTGAGTTCATTTATGCTGCTATAACAAAATGTACCATAAACTGGGTGGCTTACAAACAATAGAAATTTATTTCTCACAGTTCTGGAGACTGGGAAAACCATGACCACGGCACTGGCAGATTCAATATCTGGTGAGGGCCCATTTTCTGGTTTATAAATGACATTTTTATGTTGTGTTCCCACATGTTGAAAGGGGCAACGTGGCTTTCTGGAGCCCCTTTAAGAGCACTCATCTCATTCTTGAGGGCTCCAGCCTCATGAGCTAATTACCTCTCAATGGCCTCACCTTCTAATGGCATCATATTGGTAATTAGGTTTCAACAGATAAATTTAGGAGAGGCAGGAACACTCAGACCCCAGCAATACTCTAAACAACTTCTCTCAGGCTTGGTGCAGACAATGGGTGATGTAAAGCGAAGCTGCCTAAATTACTTCTTTTTCCAGTAAAAGAAAATAGGTCTCCTGCATACTTAAAGTGTCTACCTAAAGACTTCACCTGAATGATCTGGATTTAAGGATTTAAGGTGTGATGGGGCACACTCTAACATAATCGTTGACTGGTTGGAGCTACCATTTGGCTCATGATATTAGGATTATATTAATTGTTGTTGTTGTATTTTTTTCAGGTACCTGGAGAAAAAAATATTACCTTTAAATCATACATGGCAAAGGCTACTGAGCAGCTGAGTATATGCACACGATGTCACTATGAATTAAGTGACACATTGCTAAGACAGATATGTGCAGGGGATGAGAAGCAAATTTTTGCCACCTGCCCAGTTTGTCATAGCTTCAATCTTTCAACTTTGTCAAATCTGAAGGTGAATGAAATGTCTTAAAGAGAGGATAAGACCTGAATAGCCTTGAAGAAAGTGGGCGCAGAAATGGCCCAAATCACTGGTAATTATCCTCATATGGGCCACTCATGGGGAGTCCTATGCAGCAACCAGATTGAGCTGTCTTCGTAAAAGAATGGGCTCTGTTGAAATTTTCATGACGCATCCAATGTTTGGGTGTTCTTCTTGTGCATAAAACTGTACTCATGACAATTAGAGGAACATTGGGTTTAATCAACACTGGCCCCAACCAAAACAGATGAGTCTTGGAAAATTTAGAAACTATATTTGGATTACTGAGTCATCTGAAAGTGTCCTTCCAAGACGAAAAAGATTTGCTAACTATATAGGAACACTAGAGGGAGCCCACTTCCAAGAGACTTCATGTGGCTGGCAGTTGATAAAGGTTATGAAGTGATTCATGAGTGGACAAGACATGTTTTCAAACCAATAAGGCATCACATTCATCAACCACGCTGGTGGAGGCCTTTACTCTCACTCAGGAAGGAGTGCTAAAAATGTACATTACTATAGAATCTGAGAAAGTGATGAAGAGTTCTAGGGGACTAGTTTGGTATAGGAGGAGGCAGTCATTTACAAAAATTCTATGGTAAGCCTAAGCTATGGAGAAAAAATTAAAAAAAAAAAAAAGGCTGTCGGAGAATGTGGCTTTCACTGAAATATCTAAGAGTTTATGTCCCATGGAAAAAAATGTCTTTCTGTAGGGGGCAGATGTGTGGTTCATAATGATACCTAAAAGTCTGTTTTTATATAAACCTGTAATATAATTATGTCAACAAACGACGTGGAATCTAAAATTAATTGAACAGTGGTTTCTTGTCATCAGTCTAGTCACTAAAACTGTATATCGCATGAAAATCGTTCATTTGCTTCTTGGAAATAAATACAAAGATAAATCTGTAATTTTACTAGATGCGTAATGTGTCAAACATTATTTTAGTCACTATGCTATGGTTATACACAGTAAAAAAGTGCATGTAAATACATTGATAAAATTAAATTGAAATCAAACTTCTTTGCATGGTGATCAATTATTTTGGGAGACTAATTTGAATCACCTATCTCATGTGATAACTAACACACTTAATTGTCTGAAAAAGCAGAGCAGTTGGCCTTAGAAAAAGCCAGCACCTCTATTTAAGTGTAGTAATAAAAATATTCAAACCATTGGTGAATATGGGAGAAATAATCTAGCCAATAGTGCAGCCCTGATTTATACCTGGTTCATAGCCTGCCTTTCCGAGTCACATCTCAATGCCTGATTTGTTTACTAGTGTCTCTCTTATTTGGTATGCCCTTTCTTCAGTGGTCTCTTTCCACACAACCTTAGTCACAATGGACACACACATACACACACATACGCCACATCAAACACACAAGTAAACATTTATTTATCCCGTAAATCTGCTGCTCAGTAATTTAGGCTGGGCCTCATCTGGTGATTTTGCCTATCTTGTTTTACCCTACCCAGATCAGATATCTGATAGTCAACTGGTTGTGAGCTGAGACAACTCAGGGTTACTGGATTCGGTTCTACCTATCGTTCCTTTTCTAGTAGTCTAGCCTGGGTTTGTGTTTATAAAATGGTAGTGATGCAAGACCAGGAAAAGTCTAATCACTCAAATGATCCCCAAGCCTCTGCCTTCAACGTGTTTGTGAACAACATGCCCAAGTCAGATCCATGTGTGAGAGCACTGCCTGAGTACTTGGAATAGGAGAAAAATATAAACAGTGTTATAGACTGAATTGCATTTCCCAAAATTTATATATTGAAATCCTAACCTCTAGTACCTCATATTACTATATTTAGAGATAGCGTTTTTAAAGAGGTAATAAAAGTTAAATGAAATCTTTGGGGTAGGCCCTAATACAATATAACTGTATCCTTAGAAGAGGAGGTTAGGACACACACATACACACAGAGAAGAATGACCATGTGGAGACAAAGGGCGAAGACAGCCGTATATAAGCCAAAGACAAAGGTTTCAGAATAAAACCAAACCTGCCTACACCTTGATTTCAGATTTCTCACCCACAGAACTGTGAGAAAAATTTTAAACTTTTGTCATTTAAGTCATGCAGGGTCTGGTATATTATCACGGAAGCCCTAGCAAACTAATATAGGGAGAAATAAAAAATGCTATCACAATATGGTGAGTCCCAGGATAAGGGCCCCAACATTCTTACACAATCATTTTATCAAGCTTAAATTACAGGACTTTATGAGTCACATCAGGTCTAGATGTAGTTCCCTTAAAAGGCTGATCTGTAAAGCGAAGTGCTATGGTTTTAATATTCATCCCCTCCAAAACTTCTGTTGAAAATGTAATCTCTAATATGGCAGTATTGAGAGGTGGGCCTTTAAGAGATGGTTGGGTCATGAGAGCCCTGTGCTCATAAATTGATTAATTCATTCGTGAATTAACAGATTAATGGAATATTGGGTTAACACATTGAACAGTTATCATGGGAGTGATGCTGGTGGCTTTATAAGAGGAAGAGCGAACTGAGCCAACACATTTAGTCCTCTCACTATGTGATGCCCTTACCCAACTCAAGACTCTGCAGAGGATCCCAACCAGCAAGAAGGCTCTCATCAGATGCAGCTCCTCAACCTTGGACTTCTTAGACTCCACACCTGTAAGAAATACCTTTCTTATTAAATAAATAACCCAGTGTCAGGTATTCTGTTACAAACAACAGAAAATGAACTAAGATATTAAACTAAAAGATATCTTCCTCACACACACCCAAATGTAGTCTTGCAACAGAAACAGAATAACACCAAAAAGAATCTGCATTCAAAAAGATGGAAAAAGTGAGGCAGCTGTTCCGAAAAGAGCTCAGGGAGACTCTGTTCAAATCATGCACATTCCCCGGGTTTTAAGATTGGCTCTTTGCCCAACACCTGGCAGATGACCCCTAAGTCCCTGGAGTATCTTGCCTGGTATGTGTGTCTTCATACACTTGAGTTTTTGGGCCATGACAGATGGTTTACACTAATAATGTTATTTATGGTAAATGTCCGCAGTTTTGGGACTTAGCTGAGCTCAGTCACGTGAGCACTGCATGCCTTTGTGAATAATCCCCAATGAAAACGGTAGGCGCCAATGTTCGGGTGGGCTTCCCTGGTAGGCAATACTGTGCATGCGTTGTCACACACTGTTTCTGTGGGATATAAGCACTGTTCATACAAATCCACTGGGAGAGGACAGTTGGAAGTCCATGTCTGCTTTCTGCTGGACTCCATCCACCCTGTGTACCTTGTTATTCCTTGCTGATTTTAATCTGTTTTCTTTTGCTGTAAGTAAACTGCAACTGTATTAACACTTTTCTGATGTCTGTGATGTTTTCAAGTGAATTAGCAAGCCTAAGTGTGGTCTGGGGAACCCCTGAGAACAAAACAAATGATAAATTTTAAGATGAGGGCTCAAAATTGACAGTTATTTACACCTATATTCTATGAACAAAAGAAAGTTATAATATGTATTAGTTGTAATCATTCTTTCACTTGAAGCCAAATCATTTCAATCTCTGCTTCTGTGGCCACATCCTATCTTGTTTTATGTTGTTTTGTTTTGTTTTTCAGACAAGGTCTTGCTTGGTTGCCCAGACTGGACTTGGAGTGCAGTGGTGTGATCTGGGCTCACTGCACTGCAACCTTCGCTTTCCAGGCTCAAGGAATCCTCCCACTTTAGCCTCTTGAGTAGGTGGGACTACAGGTGTGTGCCACTATGCCCAGCTAATTTTTATTCATTTATTTATTTATTTATTGTAGATATAGGGTTTCACCATGCTGACCAAGCTGGTCTTGAACTCCTGGACTCAAGCTATCTGCCAACCTTTGCCTCCCAAAGTGCTGGGATTACAGATGTGACATCCTGGACCTGGCCCTTTCTCTCAAAATTACTTCTACCTCTCTCTTATAAGGATACATGTGCATTTAGGGTCCAAAGAATAATCTAGAATAAGCATTTTCTCTAAAGATTCTTAAGTGAATACAGTCATGCCTCCCTTAATGACAGGGATATGTTCTGAGAAATGCATCTTTCAGCATTTTCACTGGTGTACAAACATAGAGTACTTACACAAGCCAAGATGGTATAGCTCACAACAAACCTAGGCTACACAGTACAGCCTACTGCGCCGAGGCTACAAATCTACACAGCATTTTACTATACTGAATACTGGAGACAATTGTAACACAATGGTAATTTATTTATTTTTATTTATTTATTTTTAAGATGACAGTCTTGCTCTGTTGCCCAGGCTGGAGTGCAGTGGCATCATCTCGGCTCACTGCATCCTCCATCTCCTGGGTTCAAGTGATTCTCCTGCCTTAGCTTCCCAAGTAGCTAGGATTGCAGTCGTGCACCAGCATGCCCAGCTAATTTTTGTATTTTTAGTAGAGACGAATTTCATCATGTTAGCCAGGCTGATCTCGAACTCCTGACCTCAGGTGATCCACCCACCATGGCCTCCCAAATTGCTGGTATTACAGGCGTGAGTTACCATGCCTGGCCCCTAAATATATTTAAACATAGAACATGCAGAGTAAAAATACGGTGTGAAAGACAAAATGTGGTCCACCTGTACAGGACATTTAACATGAATGGAGCTTTTAGTACTGCAAGTTGCTGTGGGTGAGTCAGCAAGTGGGTGCTGAGTGAATGTGAAGGTCTAGGATATTACTGTACACTACCGTAGACTTTATAAACACTGTACACTACCGTAGACTTTATAAACACTGTACACTTAAGCACTACTAAATTTATTTAAAAATATTTACTTTCCTCTATAATTAAACTTAGCTTACTGAAAGTTTTTATGTTATAAACTTATTTTTTTTACTTTTGACTCGTACTCTTATAACATCCAAAAACACAAACACATTGTACAGCTGTACAAAAATATTTTTCTTTATATCCTTATTCTATAAGCTTTTTCCAGTTTTTAAATTTATTTTATTTATTATCAATTTATTTTTAAACTTCTTTGTTAAAAATAAGACACAACCATGCAGATTCACCTAGGCCTACACATGGCTAGCATCATCAACATCAGTTTATTCTACCTCCACATCCTGTCCCCCTGGAAGGCCATCAGAGGCAATAACACTCAAGGAGCTGTCATCTCCTGTGATAACAATGCCTCCTGACGGACCTGCCTGAAGCTGTTTTACAGTTAACCTTTTTTTTCTTTAATAATAAGAAAGCATACACTCTGAAATATAGTACGTTAAATATTAGGTGACGGGAATTTTTCAGTGTCATTATAATCTTATAGGACCACAGTCATACCGTGTATGCAGTCCAAATTGTGACAAGAAACATGACTGTAAGATACTTTTCCAAATAAGGTAATATTCACAGGTGTCTGGGATTGGGACATTTTTGGGGCCATCATCCATTCCACATAAGGCAATGGCCAAAGTCAAATGGTGGGCAACAGACTCCATCCATTGTAAGGATATGGCCACAGTGTAAGTTTACAACACAACAAGGGGCTACTAAAAAGTTGGGACCAAAAAAAAAAAAAGAATTGCCATCTTTTACATAATGAGTCATGGTATGCAAATTTTACATTTCCCTAATACCAAAACGTCCCCAAATCTCATTCAACTGTTCGTGTCAGGCTTAAAGCCTAGGTTCTCATGATCTATAGAAAAGTTATCCCGTTTTTAAAAATATTTTAAGATATTTTTAAAATTTTTGTGGGTACACAGTGGGTGTATATATTTATGGAGTACATGAAATATTTTGACACAGGCATGAAATGCATACTAAGCATATCATGGAGAAGGGGGTAACCATTCTCTCAAGTATTTATCTTTTGGGTTACAAACAATCCAATTACACTCTTTAAATTATTTTAAAATGTACAGTTATTATTGACCACAGTCACCCTGTTGTGCCATCAAATAGTAGATCTTATTTATTCTTTCTACTTCTTGTACCTATTAGCCATCCCCACCTTTTCCTCCACTCCCTCACTACCCTCCCCAGCCTCTGGTAACCATCCTTCTACTCTCTACGTCCATGAGTTCAATTGTTTTGATTTTCAGGTCCCTCAAATAAGTGAGAACATGTGATGTTTGTCTTTCTGTGCCTGGCTTATTTCACTTAACATAATGATCGCCAGTCTCATCCATGTTGTTGCAAATAGCAGGATCTCATTCATTTTTTGTGGCTGAATAGTACCCCACTGTGTATATGTACCACATCTTCTTTATCCATACACTAATTACAATTATGGAATCTTAGCATAAACTAAATACACTCTCATTTTAAAAGGGAAAACAAAGAGGAGGTGCATATCATACTCTGTGAATATTGTGAAATCTTGCTGAGAAAATGTTATTAGGTTCTGGGAATTTTCCTTGACTTAATTCTGCTTTTGATCCCTGGGAAGGGCTTCTCCAACCATTTTTCTTTATAGTTTGAATTTTCTTTCTGGGGAGATTTCCTTCCCTATGATATGCTGGTTATTCAAAGAGATCACTGAAAAATATGCCCTTCAATCAACATTTTCAAAATATTTTCTTCTTACAGAATGTTGGGGGGCAGGGCAGAGATATTTATCACTTTTTACATTTCCCATCAACTTTACTCAGACTGGCAATTCTTTTGTAAATACAACTTTCTCAAATATTCATTAGCTTCCTTGATTTTTGATTCAAGTTTACTCTGTAGCAAAAGCCAGAAGCAAAATTTATGTCCCAACTTCCCTCTCCGTCTAGGCTTGTTTACTCCAACTATGGGTGTGCCATGGCTGCTAGGAGACCTAAAGCCTATTTATCCAGCAGAAACTAACTTCTGGGGAAAACCTGAATTATTTTAGAATTTTTAGTAAATATTTTCATAGTAACAATGTTGATTTGGTCTTACCCTTTAGGTTATGTCTTAATGTGAAAATATTTAACCGACATGAGAGTCTGAACATAGAAAAAGTTTTATTTTCCAAACTAGCAAATTCTGGTCCCTGCATATTAATCTCTAAATTCTACTTTGAAGCTTTTCCGTTCTTTTCTCAGTTAATTTCTGAGTTAATATCTTTCTTGTAGTACCACAATATCTCATATAATCAATATGCTGCCTGGAAGACTCTGTTTAAGTCTAAAAGCTCATTTATACATTTTCTACCTTCTAATTTACTGCAGGTGAAGAGCTGTACTAAATAATTTGCTACAGAAAAACACGGATTGCCCTTTCCCCAGCCTATTTTCCTTTTTGCTGTGTTATCCCAACCTTCTCTAATTATTTTCTTGTCATTTACTAACTTCTTTTAATAGTGTCCCCATCCCCAGGACCTGGCACAAAATTACTGCTACATACTTTAAGGTTGTCTTATGGTGGCATACCTCTCTGGGCATTAAAAAATGGATTAATCTGGGGTTTTATCATTTATAAAAAGTCATTATCTGAAATTTTGAAAACCTGAGAATACTGTATTAGTCTCTTTTCATGCTGCTAATAAAGACATACTTAAGACTGGGTAATTTAGAAAGAAAAGAGGTTTTAATTGACTCACAGTTCCACATGGCTGGGGAGGCCTCACAATCACATTAGAAGGCAAATGAGGAGCAAAGTTACGTCTTAATGGCAGCTGTCAAAAAAGGGAACTTGTGTAGGAAATCTCCCCTTTATAAAAGCACTGGATCTCCTGAGACTCATTCATTTTCATGAGAACAGCAGAGGAAATACCCACCCCCGTGATTCAATTACGTCCCATCAGGTCCCTCCCATGACACATGGGGATTATGGGAGCTACAATTCAAGAAGAAATTTGGGTGGGGATATTGTCAAATCATATCAAATACCATAGCAGCTAACATACACAAATGTGAGGGGAGCTACAGAGTGAAGTTCTGGAAAAAGAAAGTTGTAGTATCAGAGAGCTATTGACCATTCCAAACTAAAGCATTGGCACAAAGATACGGACTGTGTGCAGTTGCTATAATCAAGTTATCTTCTTTTCAGCTGCAAACTTTGAAATTGGTGCTTCCCTTGAAGGGCAGTTGTTTATATTACAAAGATATATCAGTTTATACAGATCAATTAAGACTTCAGTAGATTGCCTATCTATTTGTTTTCTAGAGACAACATGATTGACTAGCCAATGTCATATGTCTCTGAGAGTCAGACTATTTTGATTACTGCTTTGGAACTACTGTTCGTATTCACCAAATCTTTGACAATTAAAATTAACTCAGCTCCTGCTCTTGATGGCTGTTGTGAAACCTTGATTCTTGTTTTCTTAGTTTAAAAGAATTTAAACAAGAGACATACAACAAAGGAGATACAGCATAGAGTAATTTATTGCCAGGAGAAAGAATACTCTAAAAGTTAGGTGAAGAATAGACAGTACACACTGAGAGAGGATTCAGGATGGGCTGCTTATAAGGATGAGACCACAAAACTGACACTAGGAAAACTCCCTTTATGGGCGCTGTATTAGTCCATTTTCATACTGTTATAAAGAAATACCCAAGACTGGGTAATTTATAAGGAAAAAGAGGTTTAATGGACTCACAGTTCCACATGGCTGGGGAGGCCTCACAATCATAGCAAAAAGCAAAGGAGGAGCAAAGGCACGTCTTACATGATGGCAGGGAAGAGAGCATGTCCAGGAGAACTGCCCTTTGTAAAACCATCAGACCTTGTGATACTTATTCACGCTCAGGAGGACAGCACAAGAAAAACCCACCACTCTGATTTATTTACCTCTCACTGTGTTCCTCCCAGGACATGTGGGAATTATGGAAGTTACAATTTTAGATGAGATTTGGGAGGGGACACAGCCAAACCATATCAGAAGCCTTACATAATTATTCATAAGTGAATGTGAAGAAGTGTTACTAGTAAGCATGTTATTATGGGTGGTCCTCTGGGTGCACATGTGCAGTAGCTGTACATGCTTTTTCATACATTGGATATCTCATTAGAATGTTAAATCTCCACCCAGGGGTGTGTTTTTTACTATTATAATGAGTAAAAGATCAGTCCAAGGTCAGGTAAAATCAAAATGCACATGCTCTCTACAGGGAAAATTTCCTACTGAAGATAGCTTTGCTTGAATGATCTTGACTACAATGTGAATGCTGGGGCTTATTTTGCTGATTCTATGGTCACCATGGTTGTTGCATCCAGAGGATGTGGTTGCTTCTTTGACCACATATCCTGCTTCAGTGTCACTCTGTAATTTTATTATCACAATTGCATTTAAGGATTCTAGTTTAATGTTAATAGTTCCCACTATAATTTCTGTCATACAGAGAAGAGTAAACACAGAGCACATTAAGGACACTGGGGTGCCTATCAAAAATTTATAACTTGCAGTCATGGTGAAAGACGATTCTTCTGGACCCTCTTAGGGTGGGTGAACAGGTCTTTCAGACTAAATCCAATTTAGCATCCCCTGTCTGTAAGCCTTTGATACCTTCCTCTATCCAGCCAGTATGGGAATTTTAACTTTATTTAGTATAGGCCACCTTTGAGTCTATGTGTCAGTCAATAAACAAAACAATTAGAGGCTTTTATAACACCTTCTGCTAAATTATTGATTCCAAAATCTCTGTTTAGTAAGTTGATATCAGTTTCAGGGTTGTAGCCAAGATGGCTGACTATAAGCAGCTACTGTGCATGGTTCTCACAGAGAGGAACAGAAGGGGTGAATAAACCTTCAACTAAAGCATTCAGGTACCAGCCTTGGGACCAATCAAACAAACAACTTGATCCATGGAGAACAGAGCCAAAGGAAACTCCCCCACCCAGGGAAGTGGTGAGTGAATGTGCAATCCCAGGAAACCATGCTTTACCCACAGATCTTTCCAACCCTTGGGTCAGGAGATCCCCTTTTAAACCTACCCCACCAGAACCTTCAGTCTGACTCACAAAACTATGTGGAGTCTCCACAGGGCAGCCACTTGGGCACATGTGGAGGTCCAGAAGCTTTAGATACTCTGGGTTTTTGGACTTCCTGGCAAAAGTAGCTGCAACTTTAGACCCCCTCTACGTACCCAAAGGAAAGAGGCTGAATCCAGGGGGCAAAATAGCAATTGTCTGCAGGCCCCATTTCCATGACACATCACAGGGTAAGACCCTTTGGCATGGAGTTCCAGCCAGCCACTGATAGTAGTGTTGTGATCTGAGATGGAGCTCCTAGGGCTAGGGACAGGCTGCCATCTTTGCTGCTTGGGCAAATTAGCTCTTCCAGCCTTCAGGCTTTAGAGAGTCCAAGCAGACTGGGGGTGGAAGCAGTATTCCAACACATCACAGCAGCCCTACTTGGCCAGACTACTTTTTAAGCAGGTCCCCAATCCCATTCCTCCTAACTGGGTGAGACCTCCCAACCGGGGTCTCCAGCTACCTCATACAGGCTCATTCAGGCTGGCAACAGGTCTGTACCTGCTGGGGATGGAGCTCCCAGAGGAGGTGGTAGGTTTCCATCTTTGCTGTTTTGCAGCCTTCAGTGGTAATACCTCCAGCGAAGGTAATACTTCCACTCGGAAATCTGGGGTGACTAGGGACTGTAGCAAGCCTCAAGCATACTGCAGCTGACCTACAGAAAACTGACCAGATTGTAACATGGGTGCCTGGTTCTGTATCTTTTCACCAGGCAGATTGTAACATGGGTGCCTTGTTCCCTATCTTTTCACCAGGCAGTTTCTCCAGGCCTGTGCGTCTAGCCATTCCTCATCAGTGCTATTGAGATAGTAGCAACTTGGCAACTCACCGGACATAGCCTCCAGGGGCAACTGAACTGTCCCTGCTACCCTTGGACTAATGAAGGAGCCGATACTCTAAGTACCATATCCACACCCCCAAAAAGCTGCAGTTGACCCAAGGTGAGGAGGCCAGTCCATCTCCCAGGAGTCCCACACTTCCACTACTGCTCATCACAAGAAAGGGAATCCATGGCTTGAGCCCAAAGCAAACACCCACCATCCTGGGTGGATTGCATTGAGCAATTGCTGACCCACATCTCTCTTGGATGGAGCCCACAGGAGATAAGCAAACTAGTGAAGCAGCAAGCCAGCTGATGTGGAGCCCAGAGGTTTTGATGTGGGACTTTCTGTAGTGGAGCATGATCAAGGATGGCCATCTCTGTAGCCTCAACTCACTCCCATAAGAGACTTTAGTCCTAGGGGAACTGTCAGACCTGATCTTTGCAGGTGATCTTGCACATCAGATGGGGATGGTCCAACCTGAGTATTCCTTGGTCTGCTGGCCTCTCCTGGAGCCCCAACCTGGCCATGCCTGCTTACAGGGAAGTCTCAGGTGCCCTGGGGACCCAACACCATAGCTTCTGCAGTGGTGGAACAAGCCTGACTAGTGAAGAACTCCAGCAAGGCAGCCCCTATGGCCATGTACCACCCTGCAGGTTCCCTCACCCTACTGCAGCTTCCCTGGAGCCCACAGCAACTTCCCACATCACTTTGCTGGTATGTGTCTGCATGAGCAGGTTTTGGTTTACTTTCCCTGCCAGCACACAGGAGTGCAGTAACTCCCTACCTTCATTGACCACCATTGCAGATGGATTATTGACAGGCACAGAGCCAGAAAGCCCTGCACCCACCACTGACCCACCTTTATACTAATGCTGCATAAAGAACAGAGGCCCTTCCACACCCTGAGCAATCACTTCTGTTTGTGGGGCACCAAGAAGGCACCCAGACTCGCACTGGCCAGTATTCTGCCCCAAACCAACACCATCTTCAGTTCAACAGCACACACAGTTCCCAGAAATGGCCCTCTGCTTCTCCTTCAGCTGCCTTGCCTCTACCACTGTGTCGAATGCCCATAGGGAGGCAGGCAGCCCTGCATCAGCTAGCACTCTGCTGCAGCTGCCACCTTGGTCCTCCCAGCACAGTAGACTCCAAACTTCAAAAAGGCAGAGAACAAAGTCAAAACTCAATACAAGTCCCGCAGATTTTGAGCATGCAGTCCAGGAGTTGGGAACTGAATGTAATGCTGGCCCATTAAAATCTTCCAGAAATAAAGCCAGTAGGCTAAATCCAGCTTGTACCACAATCAAACCCCAAAGTCATGAAGTAGAATTTTTAAAAAATCCAAAGGACAGCAACCTCAAAGATTGAAGATAGATAACTCCACAAAGATAAGAAAGAATCAGCACAAGAATACCAAAAACTGAAAAAGTCAGAGTGACTTCTTTCCTCCAAATGGCCACATCGCTTCTCCAGCAAAAGTTTGGAATGAGACTGAGGCTGAGATGGTTGAAATGACAGAAGTAGAATTCAGGTGTAGACCTGAAAAAGGTTACTGAGCTAAAGGAGTAATTGTATCCTAATGTAAGGAAGTTAAATAATCATGATAAAACATTGCAGGAGCTGACAGACAGAATAACTAGTATAGAGAAGAACATAACCAATCTGATAGAGCTGATAAACACACTACAAAAATTTTATAATGCCATCACAAGTATTAATAGTAGACTAGACCAAGCAGAGGAAAGAATTTCAGAGTTTGAAGGCTGGCTTTCTGAAATAAGACAGACAGAAAAAAATAGAGAAAAAAATAATAAAAAGGAATAAACAAAACCACAGAGAAATGTAGAATTATGTAAAGAGACCAAATCTCGGAGTGATTGGTGTACCTGAAAGAGATGGAGAGAATGGAACAACTTGTAAAACATGTTTTAAGATATCATCCATGAGAATTTCCCCCTTCTGGCTAGAGAGGTAAAATCTTCAAATTCAGGAAATGCAGAGAACCCCAGTAAGGTACTCCATAAGAAGATCATCTCCAAGACACATAATCATTAAATTTTCCAAGGTCAAAATGAAAGAAAAAATGTTAAAGGCAGCTAGAGAGAAAGGCCAGGTCACCTACAAAGGGAAGCCTATCAAACTAACAGCCAAACTCTCACCTGAAACCAAACAAGCCAGAAGAGATTGAGGGTTAATATTCAACATTCTTGAAGAAAAGCAGTTCCAAGCCAGAATTTCATGTCTGGCCAAACTAAGCTTAATAAGCAAAAGAGAAATAAGATCCTTTTCGGATAAGCAAATGCTGAGAAAATTTGTTACCACCAGAGCTGCCTTATAAGAGTTCCTGAAGGAAGCACTAAATATTGGAAAAAAGACAGACCATTACCACCCAAAACAGAGACATCGAAGCACAAAGACCAGTGACACTATAAAGCAACCACATAAACAAGACTGAAAAGTAACCAGCTAACACCATGATGACAGTATCAAATTTACTGTAAGTGTAAATGGGCTAAATGTCCCAATTAAGAGACACAGAGAGGCAAGCTGGGTCAAGAATGAAGGCACATTGGTATGCTGTCTTCAAGCGACCCATCTCACCTGTAATGACACAAATAGGGTCAAAATAAAAGGACAGAGAAAAATCTACTAAGCAAAGGAAAAACAGAAAAAAAAGTTGCAGTTATAGTTTGAGACAAAACAGAATTGAAACCAACAAAGATCAAAAAGGACATTACATAATGGTAAAGTGTTCAATTCAACAAGATCTAATTAATTATCCTAAATATAAAGACATCCAATAAAGGAGCACTCAGATTCATACAGCAAGTTCTCAGAGACCTTCAAAGAAACTTAAACTCTCACGCAATAATAGTGGAGACTTTAACACCTCACTGACAATATTAAACAGATCATTGAGACAGAAAATTAACAAAAATACTCAGGACCTGAATTCAGCTCTGGATCAAATGGACCTGTCTACAGAACTCTCCATCCTAAAACACCAGCATATACATTCTTCTCATGGCCCCATGGCAGACTCTAAACTCAATCAATAATTGGAAGTAAAACACTCAGCAAATGCAAAATAACTGAAATTGTAACAAAAAGTCTCCCTGACTGTAGCACAAACAAATTCAAAATCAAGACTAAGAAATTCACTCAACACCATACAATTACATGGAAATTGAATAATTTGCTTCTGAGTGACATTTGGGTAAATAATAAAATTTAGGCAAAAATCAAGAAATTATTTGAAACTGATGAGAAAAAAGATACAACATACCAGAATCTCTGGAACACAACTAAGGCAGTGTTAAGAAGGAAATTTATAGCACTAAGTGCCCACATCAAAAAGTTAGAAATATTTCAAGTTAACAATCCAACAACTAAAAGAATTAAAGAACCAAAAGCAAACAAATCCCAAAGCTAGCAGAAGACAATAAATTACCAAAATCAGAGCTGAACTGAAGGAGAAAGAGATATGAAAAACCATTCAAACAATCAACACATACAGGAGCTTTTTAAAAAAATTAGTAAAATAGATAGACCACTTGCTAGAATAATAAAGAAGAGAGAGAAGATTTAAATAAACACAATTACAAATGAAAATGTCAGTATTCTCACTGACCCCACAAAAAGACAAAGAGCAAAGAGAAAATATTATGAACACTTTCTGTACATAGACTAGATAGTCTTGAAAAAATAGATAGATTCCTGGACACATACACCCTTCCAAGATTGAGTCAGGAAGAAATCGAATCCCTGAACAGACCAATAATGAGTTCTAAAATTGAGGCAGTAATAAATAGCCTACCAACCAAAAAAAAAAAAAAAAAAAAAAAACGCCCAGGACCAGAAGTATTAACAGCTGAATTCTAACACATATATAAAAAACAGCTTGTATTATTCTTACTGAAACTATTGCAAAAGAATGAGAGGGAGAGATGTCTCCCTAACTTATTCTATGAAGCCAGCATTATCCTGATACCAAAACCTGGCAGAGATACAACAACAACAAAAACTTCAGGCCAGCACCCTTGATGAACATCAGTGTGAAAATCCTCAATAAAATACTAGCAAACAAAATCCAGCAGCACGTCAAAAAGCTTATCCACCACGATCAAGTAGGCTTTAACCTCAGGATGCAAGGTTGGTTCAGCATACACAAATCGATAAATGTGATTCATCATATAAATAGAACTAAACACAAAAACCATACAATTATCTCAATAGATTCAGGAAAGGCTTTCAACAAAATTCAACATCGATTTATGTTGAAAACTCTCAATAAACTACATATTGAAGGAACATACCTCAAGATAATAAGAGCCCTATATGACAAAGCTACAGCCAACATCATAGTGAATGGGCAAAAATCATTCACTATGGAAGCATTCCGCTTGAAAACTGGCACAAGACAAGTATACCATCTCTTACCACTCCTATTCAACATAGTGTTTGAAGTTCTGGTCTGGGCAATCGGGCAAAAGAAAAAAAATAATAAAGAACATACAAACATAAAGCAAGGAAGTCAAACTATCCCTTTTTGCAGACTACATATTCCCATAGCTAGAAAACCTGATAGTCTCAGCCCCAAAGCTTTTTAAGCTGATAAACAATTTTAGCAAAGTCTCATAGTACTAAATCAATGTGCAAAAATCCCTAGCATTCCTATACACCAATAATAGTCAAGCTGAGATCCAAATCACAAACTATCCCTCATTCACAATTGCCAAAAAAGAATAAAATACTTAGGGATACAGCTAACTAGTTCTCTCTTAAGAGGAGAACTATTGTTCAAAGATTTCAGAACCACTGCTTAAAGATTTCAGAGATGACACAAACAAATGGCAAAAATATTCCATGCTCATGGATAAGAAAAATCATCATTAAAATGCCCATACTGCCCAAAGCAATTTATATATTCAATGCTAGCTATTTCTATTCAACTACTGTTGACATTCTTCATCAAGCTAGAGAAACCTATTTTAAAATTCATATAAAACAAACAAAGAGCCCAAACAGTCAAGGAAATCCTAAGAAAAAAGAACAGGGCTGGAGACATCATAGTACCTGACTTTAAACTATGTTACAGGGCTACGGTAACCAAAACAGCATGGTACATAAACAGATGCACAGATCAATGGAACAGAATAGAGAATCCAGAAATAAAACCACACACTTAAAACTACCTAATGTTCATCAAGCCTGAGAAAAACAAGCAATGGAGAAAAGATTCCCTATTCAATAAATAGTGCTGGGATAACTGGCTAACTGTATAAAGGAGACTAAAACTGGACCCCTTCCTTACACTATATACAAAAATTAACTCAAGATGGACTAAAGACTTAAATGTAAAATCTAAATCTCTAAAAACCTTGGAACACAATCTAGACAATAAAATTCTGGACGTAGGCAGGGGCAAAGGTAAAAAGGCATCAAAAGCAATTGCAACAAAAGCAAAAACTGGCAAATTGGATTTAATTACAATACAGAGCTTCTGCACAGCAAAAGAAACTATCAACAGAGTAAGCAAACAACCTAAAGAATGGGAAAAAATATTTGCAAACTGTGCATCCAACAAAGGTCTAATATCCAGCATCTACAAGGAATTTAGACAAATTTACAAGAAAAAAATGAACAATTCCATAAAAACTGGGCAAAGGACATGAACAGACACTTTTCAAAAGAAGACATACATTTGCCCAACAATCATATGAAAAAAAAGCTTGAATTCTCACATTTAATTTAACGGTTAAAAAAAAAGTTTCGGCCTGATCCAATGTTTTATTTTTCTACAGTGATCTCACATCCTTAAGGTAAATTCCAACAGATATTCCTAAGATTTCTGTGTAAAGTGGAAAAATCATGCAGTACTTGGTGTTTAGCACTTTTTTATGGGTTAGACTTTGTATCTTACCCTTTTTGGTGTGCTGGAAGTTGAGTCTAATTATAGGTCTAGAAGCATGCATGGGTAGGACATGAGGTGATTCAGTAGTCCCTTGCAAGTCAGAGGCCTCAGGAGAGACCAATATAAGTTCTTTGGATATGGGTGGAAGGTCCGCTTCTACTGGGAAAGAG
Organism: Homo sapiens; assembly: GCF_000001405.40. NCBI lineage: Eukaryota > Metazoa > Chordata > Mammalia > Primates > Hominidae > Homo > Homo sapiens. The sequence continues at coordinate 23,837,545 of NC_000005.10, forward strand.
GTTCTGGAAGAATTAAGGGATTTGATAATCCATTATTGAAATCTGTTCATATTAACTTAGTTTAATGTTTAGAATCCCATTCCTTCCAACGAATGCCCTCACAATAGAGAAGATATCTAGCAAGACTGAGAATCCAATTTGCATTATAATTCAACCACTCACAGGATGAAACTCTGAAGTTTGGTTTTTAGAAAGCTTTAACCTGAGGCTATTGGAGATGAAGATTTACTTCAGTGCAGATTTAAAACATTTCCAATTATTTACATAGAGCCTGAGCCAGGAATTTGGTTTCCCGAGCTCATCCTTTTCTTTTTCCACTGCTGTGAACTTAACTGTTTTCTTCAAAATTAATAAAGCCCTACTTAATTGGATTAGAGGTCCTAATCTATCCCTAATGTGACTGTATTTGGAGATAAGGCCTTTAAGGATGTCATTTATTTAAATGAGATTGTAAGGGTAGGACTCTAATTTGATAAGGCTGAAACCTTATAGAGAAAGAAATGCTAGAGCTCTGTTTCTCTCTTTCCTCACATACCCACCAAGGAAAGTTCATGTGAGCACCCAACAATAAGGTGGTCATCTGAAATCCAGGAAGCATGGCTTCACCAGAAACTGGCCATGCTGGCACCTGGATGCTGGAGCTTCCAAAACTGTGAGAACATAAACTTCTGTTTTTCAAGCCATCCAGTCAGCAGCATTTTGTTATGACAGCTAAGCTAACTCATACATGCACTTACTCCAGCAAATCCCATGATAATTCTTAATTTGATTAAAGTGTTCTAAAATATCTTCAATAGGTATTTGATTAAGAGTATCCAATGGCAATCTTTTGTATTATCTCTATTGCCACATTATTTGAGGGAAAATCAGTATTTCTTTTATAGTCATGAGTGTTTTGAAATCTGATTACATTAGAAAACCAATTCCAGAAATTTCAGAACCAATTCAGAGAACTTATTTTTAAACTTCTCTTCTTCCAGAACCACTTTCAGTACCAAAACTGTAGCCATCATGCTTCAACTAGAGGGACAAAAACAGTAGTAGATAAATATTAAGAGTTTTATTGTCATCATTTGGCTTACATGATTTGGGAGAAATGTGTAGCAAATAGAAAATCCAAAGGGCAGGCTGTCAGGAGAAAGGCTGGAATTCTTTAGCAAAGACTGAAGCTGTTAGGTACAAGATGAATTTCTTCTTCTTTAGGGAATCCTCAGTTCTGCTCTTAAGATCTTTCAATTGATTCAATAGAGTCCACCCAAAATATCTATTATGACATCAAATATCTCTAATTTACAGCCAACTGATTATTGACCACGATCACATCTGCAAAATACCTTCAAAGTAACACCTAGATCAGTGTTTGATTGAATATCTAGAGATTGTAGCTTACACAAGGTGACATAAAAACATCACATGTGCTATTGGCAAAAAACAGTAAGCATTTAATAAGATTCAAAACATTGACATTCAAAATATGTCAATAATTATAATAAATTTAAATGAGCTGAGAGTTCTACAATTTTTTATGTCAAAATTAGCCAGTATTTCTTAGAAAGACTCGTTGTTGTTGTTGTTATTTTCTTTTCCTTAATATAAACCCATTGTGCATTTTAGGAAAAAATATAATAAAAATTTATTGAATGTACATGTGGTTTGTTATACAAAACCATGATATTATAGCAAAGCAAACATATTTACACAACTGTCAAAATTTATAAAATCCAATAAAACAATTTATGTATATTCAAGTAGATATTCTTGCAAATATATTTCTGTCAATGTTTGTTGAATTTATTTTGATACGTCAATATTTCAATCTGTGGCATCTTGATGGTTCTAAGATAGTTTACGTGTCTAGGGTTATGAGTCTTCTAGTTTTAGTATGAGGTATAATAAGTACTAAGTAAGTAAACATTTCATCCAGGCATTTGCAGGTTTGTGTTAAAGTTAATCCACTGTAACTCATAGAACCTGTCTCATTCTTATCATCTTTTTGAACTCTACTTTTTGGCAAACTGAGCATTTGTGATTCCCTGAATATTCTTCCTGTTTTTCGTAATGCTGTGCCTGGTAGACCCTTATGTTCTGTCTAAAAAGTTTATCACTCTCATTCTTCCCATTCATCCACCCGAGTAACTGATTATGTAACTTTTATCATTTGAATTGTTCTAGCACCTTTTAGTGGTACATTTTTTTATGACACTTTCTTTATTCTGTCTTATATAATTATTTTTATGCATATTATTCATATTCAACAAGAGAAGACACTGTGTTTTATTTATAATTGTCTCTATTCAGTGATTAGCCTAGTTCCTTATATATATCAATTTTCAATAATTATGTTTCATTTATAAACTATAACCCACACTGCTTTAAGAGCAAAGGTTTGTTTTTCTTTTACTGTAATAATTATTCTAGTAACAATCTTATTGCTAAAATGATTTAGGAAGAAATCAACAGCCTCTCTCATTATTATTTTTCTGAGCTATATAATGTTCACGTAATAATAGTCAGAAAAGCAAACCTGAACAGGCATAATAAAATTTGAAAGCAGCAAATAAACAATAAAAAAAAGAAACAGAGAACTTTATCTGAACCAAAAGATTTAAATGACTTCTACCATCTTATTTATAATTTTATTTTTATTTTCCAATATTGTATTTAATAAATATCTATTTCCATATTCTACTCAAGCTCTAATACAATATTCAATGTTATGGTCAATACAAGCAGAGCCCTCTGCTGTATGGCAGAAATATAACAAGATAATACAGTTCCTTCAAATTCACTGGGAACAGTTCAGTGAGTAATCTGCTTATAGCTATTTCCTTCATGTTTCAAAAATACAAACTAGTTGTAGTTTACATAGGTTGTATTACTATAGTTTAAATGATATTTTCAAAAATTAATATGTTGTACTAACTAACTCTTTTTTTTTCCTTTAGGACTGCAATTTGCACAAACAAGGCTTTGTATATACATAAAGTGTCAGGCAGAAACCAAGATTTATTAACATCTTCACAGATTCCTTGCTAGTTTATAACTGTATTAAATGTTCTTCTTCCAGTCACCTAGGGTCTTTATTCATTAGCTGTATTTAATTAAATAGCTGAGTTACTCTATTTTGAGTATACTGCCTAATCCATTAACTAATAGGTACCTTATTTTCCTTTCTTCTGTATTTCTTTCCTCATTTCCTTCCATCTATCTTTATTTTCTTCCTTACTTCTTACACTTCATTCCTTCTGTTCTTTCCTTCCTACCTTCCTTGAATCAGTGTTATAAAGAGAGTTCAGAGAGGCAAATGTAAAATTTTAATTCTGTTTGCATTTCGAGTGACACTATTTTAAGTAGCATTCTTATCTCATTGGCCAGAGGGAATTTATCACTTGGGCACAATCTCATTGTGACTAATACATCAGAACTTTAGCCAGAACTCTGATGGGGCTACACATATTAATTGAGAAATAATAGTATTTTCACCAAAAATTAATGATGTTCATAATACCATTAATATAAAACTCTAAAAGTCTAAAGTTCCATGAGTTCAGGGGCTGGAATCGTGATTTGCCCAACTGTATCTTCAGTGCAATACATGGTTTCTAATACATAGTAATTTCTGAATGTATTAATTGGGCAAGTAATTATTTAGTGTTTAGACTGAACAGGGAATTACACGCTGTTAATTCTCTAGAACATTCATACAGTGCAGTAATGTACATAGAAATCTTTATAACCTGGTTTAATTAATAAAATTTTATTTTTCTATAAAATATGATCCATAGCATTTTTGAAAAAAAATCATTGTTTCAAAAACAATAAGTATATAATTCTATAAGGTATTAACAGTCCATAAATACTACAATTAACAAAAAATTCTGTGAACTAATTATCTCAGTTAATTTTATAATATTTTCAACATCTAAAAAAATTAGAATTATAGTTTTATATTGGTATAAATGTATACAGGGTAAGATAAAGTTCTAATTTTTTTTATCTAAGGGATGTATTAACATGAATTTGACAATAATTATATGAAAAATTGACCAGGCTATTCTTCAGTTCTGGTAAACTAAGAAACATTTATTTAAAAACTATAAATAATAAAATAGAAAACACTCTTAAAGCTGAGAAATTCTTAAATCTTTATACGGCAATGAATTGCAATTAAACATTGGCTCTCAAATTATATCTCTAATAAAATGCTGGACTAGAGAAAAAAATTCTGTACTATTATAAGGATAAGATAAGAATATGACATCTATCATCTTTACCTAGGCTCTGAGGCCCCAGACCGTCCAAAAACATTGGTCTTTATTCATAGTATTTGGGGATTTTAATTTACATTGTTTACATCGTGTGAGAACATCTGGTCCTCTTGTTCAGATTGATTTTTGTTTTCTATTTGTAAAGTGGATTTTCTTTTTTTGCTTTTAAAAATATTTAAATAGGGGAAGTTTGGGGAACAGGCTGTGTTTGATTACATGAGTAAGTCCTTTAGTGGTGATTTTTGAGATTTTCCTGAGGTTTGGGGACACAGGTGGTGCTTGGTTACATTAATAAGTTCGTTAGTGGTGATTTCTGCACCCAATGTGTAGTCTTTTATCCCTCACCCCCTCCCACACTTTCCCTCAAGCCCCCAAAGTTCTTTGTATTATTCTTACATCTTTGCATCCTCATAGTTTAGCTCTCACTTATGAATAAAAACATCCGATGTTTGGTTTTCCATTCCTGAGTTACTTCCCTTAGAATAATGGTCTCCAATTGCATTCAGGTTGCTGTGAAGGTTTGTGATTCACCAGTCTCATTCTACAAGGGACTGTCACTGAAAACTAAGCCTACCACACATTAGCAAAAATTAAAGGTCTCAAAAACACTGTCGACAAAAGCAAAAATTGATACAAGAATCAACGTCAAACTAAAAAGCTTCTGCACTACCAAGAAAATAACAGAGTGAAAAAGCATAGGCCATTTTTGTGGAATGAAAGAAAACATGTGCAAAGCATTTATATAATATGTGATTAATTCCAAAATATATCAAAACTGCTATAACTCAAAAGTAAAAAGAAAAAGAAAACCAAACACAAAAGAATGAATAATCCAATTTAAAAATGGACAAAGGACTTGAGTAGACTTTTCTCCAATGAAGACATACAATATGAACACCAGGTAGGTAAAAAGGTACTCAACATCATTGATCACCAAGGAAATCCATATCAAAACACTACTGAGATAGCACCTCACATCTGTTAGGATGGCTATTATCAAAAATAAATAAATAGGAACAAAAATATGAAGAATTTGGAATACTTGTACAATGTTGATGGAAATGTAAAATGGTGCAGCCACCATAGAGAATATAGTAAGGAAATTTCTTAAAAATTAAAATATAACTACCATATGATCCACTAATCTTATTTCTTGGCATGTATGAAATCAGGATCAGAGATACTTTGTACTGTCATATTCATTACAGCATTATTCATAATAGCCAAGATATGGAAACAACCCAAATATCCATTGACAGATCAATGGATAAAGAAAGCATGGTATATACATACAATGGAATATTATTTTACCTTAAAGAAGAAAAAATACTACCAATTGCAACAACATGTATGAGCCTAGTGAACACTATGCAAAGCAAAATAAGCCTGTCTCAAAGATGATTCCACGTATATGAGGCATCTGCAATAGTCAAACTCATAGAAACAGAGAGAAACGGGGTAGTTACCAGAGACTAAGGGTAGAGGGAAAGAGAAAATTGTTGGGAAATGGGTATAAAATTTTAGTCATTTGAGATGAGTAAGTTCTGAGATAATCTGTGTAACATAGTACCTATAATTAACAATGTGGTGTTATGCACTTCAAAATGCATTGAAGTTAAATCTCAGGTTAAGTGTTTTTACTGTATTAAGGAAAGAGACAGAAAATTTGGGGCGATGACAGATATGTGTATGTTTAATATCTTGATTCTTGATGGTATCACAGCTGTATGCATATGTCCAAACTGATCAAATTACATACAGGTAGATTAAACTTGTATAATTTGCTTTTTTGTTGAATGTTAACTATACCTTAATAAACCTGTTAAAATTTAAAGTTGTTATTAAATCCCTATGAAAACACAACCCACCTTCAATGAGAATTACACTGAATATAACACAGAGAGGTGAAACATCAGAAAATATGGATGACTGTTTAAGACCAGAAGATTAGGATGTAAAACCATAGTTATATGTGTGATAGGAACCACAGAAGATCTGGGGATGAAAATAAAGACCTAATCATTTATAAACAGCAGAAATAATAAATACAATACACATGAGATGGCTTTTTTTACTGTCAGGAATTACAGATGACAGAATTTACTTCCCAGAAAAAAATTAAGACTTTTTCATGAAGATGGAACTAAAATCCACTAAAATACAAGTAAAATGTGGGAAGTTATGGTAAAGAAGGGATACAAAAGAAAGAATAAGGAACATACGTTCATTATTATAACATTTCTAACCGTGCAGTACTAAAATTTCTAAACGTGCAGAGGAAAATGAGGAGGAAATAAAGGACTAACAATCACTTGAACAACCCACTTGAAACTTTTCTATATTACATTTTCCCCAGTTGTCAACATGGGCAACAAGTCTTTATTATTTATGATAATTTTTTGCCTAAAATAAATATGATTAACAGATAACTGGTTAATCCCCAAACCTCACTGTGTACTTACTTTTTATCTTATTTCTCCAATGAAAGCATTTAAAGTAACCACTAATTAGGACTAAATTTGACTGCTATTTGTTTAATATCTATTCATGTTTTCCCTTTCTAATTCTCTGGTTGGGAAAACAATTAGCAATAAACAAGCAAGTGGTAATGTACAAGGGAAAAACGGCCAAAATTCAGCCACAAAGTTCACAGTTGTCTCTTTTTTTTTCATTTTGATAATACAATGACTGAACAAATGAAGACTATGTATTCATTCAATAAATACTAATTGAGCCCAGCCGCGTTCCTGTCATGGTGCTCAGTGTTGAATGGACGTAGTGTTTCACTACTTACAGATTTGAACTCCAAGTTCAGAAAAGTCAAAAAGAAATAATAGCTCAAAAGTTAGATTAAAATAGAACTAGAACCAATTTACAAATCCAGTGTTCCTTGTCTGCCTCTCATCATGTTGGAAATGAATGATCATTGGTTATTAAAGCAGATTTTTCACAAGGGACTTTAATTAATCCAGAATGTCCAAGTATTTTTGTTTCTAATCATAGTGGAAAGACAGACATTAAAATGAACAAATACCCACATAGATTTGTAAAACATTATTAAAATATATATTTGGTGTAATTAGCAATCCTCCTAATTTTAATTTATTATTATGTCCTTCATTGCTCATTCCCAACATTCCAATTGAAGTAATTCTACCACTTCTCTCCCACCAAAGTTTAAGATGTCCCAGATCAGTGGGTCTATAAATAGATCCACTAAACTAAATAGAATTCCAAGTTAAAAAGAAAAAAAAAGCTACACAAAAATAATAACAGATGCTAGCAATCTGTTAGTGATAATATAAATTAGTAAAGACATCATGGAAAACAGTATGAAGAGTTCTCAAAAAACTAAAAGGAGAACTACCATTTGACCCAGCAATTGGACTATGGGGTATTTATCCAAGGAAAGAAATACAATATATCACAGGCATACCTGCACTCTCAGTTTACTACAGCGTTATTCACAGTAGCAAAGATACGGAATCAACCTAAGTGTCCACCAATGGATGAATAGATTAAAAATGTGATATAAATACAAAAATGGCATGCTATTCCCCAAAAAAGAATAATATCATGTCATTTGCAGCAACATGGATGGAACTGGAGGTCATTATATTAAGTGAAATAAGCCATGCACAGAAAGATAAATATTGCATGCTGTCACTTATATATGGGAGTTAAAAATGCTGATCTCATGGAGGTAGAGAGAGTAATGACAAATACCAGAGGCTGGGAAGGTGGGGAGGAGGATTAAGAGAGGTTGGTTAATGGGTACAAATATACAGTCAGATAGAACCAATAAGTTCTGTGTTCTATAGCACAGTGGGGTGACTATAGTTCATAACAATATATTATATATTTCAAAATAACTAGAAGAGAGGACTTGAAATGTTCCTAACACATAGAAATGATGAATACTTGAGGTGATAGATACACTAAGTACCCTGAGCGGATCAATCCACATTCCATGCATGTAACAAAATATCACAGGTCCTCCATAAATATGTAGAAATACGCATCAATTGAAAAAAGAAAAAATCCATAACATAGATGTAAGGAAGTCCAACTCTTCTGATTTTTCCCATAAGGTTTACTTGGGGCTTTAAAAAATTAAATAATAAATTTATAAACAAACAAAGGGCTCTTGAAAGAAATTTAAAGTGTTTCTCCAAAGAAGACATGAACGATAAGAAAATGAAAAAGCCTTCTTTCTGATATGAAGAAAGTTTTAATGGTCTGGATAGAAGATCAAAGTGGCTACAACATTCCCTTAAACCAAATTCTAATCTAGAGCAAGGCCCTAACTCTCTTCAATTCTGTGATGGCTAAGAGAGGTAAGGAAGCTGTAGAAGAAAAGTTTAAAGCTAGCAGAGGTTGGTTTACAAAGTTGAAGAGATAACGCCATCTCTCTAACACACCAATGCAAGGTGAAGCAGCAGGTGCTCATGTAGAAGCTACAGCAAGTTATCCAGTAGTTCTAGGTAAGATGAATGATGACGATAGATACACTAAACAACAGATTTTCAATATAAACAAAGTGGACTTCTAATGGAAGATGCCATCTAGGACTTCCATAGCTATCGATAAGCCAATGTCTGGCTTCAAAGCTTCAAAAGACAGACTGGCTTTCTTATTAGAAGGCATTACAGCTGGCGACTTTAAGTTGAAGCCAATGTTCATTTACTATCTGAAAATCCTAGGGCTGTTAAGAATTATGCTAACTTTAGTCTGCGTATGCTCTATAAATGGAACAATAAAGCATATCTGTTTATAGCACAGTTTACTGAATATTTTAAACCCATTTTTTAAAACTACTGCTCAGGAAAAAAAAGATTTCTTTCAAAATATTACTGCTTATTGACAAGTTACCTATTTACCCAAGAACTCAAATGAAGATATATACGAAGATTAATGTTATCTTCATGCCTGTTAACAAAACATTTATTCTGTAGCCCATACATCAAGGAGTAATTTTGACTTTCATTCATATTATAAAATAAATACATTTTATAATGCTATAGCTGCCAGAGATAGTGATTATTCTGATGGATTTGGCATGAAGAAGTGAAAAGTCTCCTGGAGAGAACTGAGCATTCTAGATGCAATGGACAATATTTATGATTCATGGAAGGAGGTCAAAATATTAACATGAACAGGAGTTTGGAAGAAGTAGATTCCAACTGTTATAGATGACTTTGAGGAATTTGACTTCAGTGGAGCGAGTAACTGCAAATGTGTTAGAAATAGCAAGATAACTAGAATTAAAAATGGAGTCTGAAGATGAGACTGAATTGCTGGTATCTCATCATGAAATGAACGGATGAGCAGTTGCAAAATAAAAATTACAGGTGAGCAAAGAAAGTGGTTTCTTGAGATTAAATCTACTCCTGGTGAAGATTCTGTAAACAATGGTGAAATGACCAACATATTGTTTATATTATTTCATAAACTTACTTGGTAAAGCAATGGTTTTTGCAACCACCATCCTGATCAGTCAGCAATCATCAATGATGAGCAGATTTCTCCACCAGGAAAAATATTCAGACTCGCTGAAGGCTGAGGTGATTGTTAGCATTATTTAGCATAACGTTTTTTGAGTTTTTGTTTGTTTGTTGTTTGTTTTTTGGGGTTTTTTGACAGGGTCTCACTCTGTCACTTAAGCTAGAGTGCAGTGGCACGATCTTGGCTCACTGCAATGTCGAATTTCCAGGCTTAGGTGATTTTCCCACCTCAGCCTCTCGATTAGCTGGGACTGCAGCCATACACCACCACACCCCGCTAATTTTTTTTTTTTTTTTTTTTTTTTTTTTTTTTCTGTAGAGAGCGGGTTTATCCATGCTTCCCAGACTGGTCTCCAACTCCTGAGCTCAAGCGATCTGCCCGCCTCAGCCTCCCAAAGTGCTGCAATTACAGGAGTGAGCCACCAAGCCCAGCAGTAAATATTTTTAAAATTAAGGTATGTATATGTTTTAGACATAATGGTAGTGCACATGCAGTACACTACAATATAGTGTAAACATAACTTTTATATACATTGGGAAGCCAAAAGTTTGTCTGCCTCACTTTATTTGTATATTAACTTTATTGCAGTGTCTGGAATGCAACTCGTGATATGTCAGGTATGCCTACACTTTGCATTTATACATTTTATTTATCCATATTCCTTAAAATATCTTCCCTGCCTTGTTTTTTTCTTTTTTTTTTCTTTTTAACTAACATGTAATCCTTACATTTCTCTGAAACTATTTTGGAAATGTAACCAGAAGATGAGCATTCATAATTCTGCATATATTTGAATCTTCAAAATGTTCAAATGTTTATACATAGACAGAGATGATGTGAGTGTGCGTGTGTGTGCATGTGTATAATCTTACATAAACAAGATCATAATAATCATGCCTGTTTTATTTTAGAAAGGTTTGAGCATGTGTTACTTGTTTCCTCTTTACTCTCACTTCTCCCGTTTTCTTCTCCCTGTTTCCTGTACCCATGTTAAATAAATGACACTTCATTTTCCATGCTTACATAATTAACTAATTATTTATTGTTTTCCTGTTTGTTTAACAAAACAGGTCACATTTCCTTGGAAACATTGTAAAATGATAATATGGAATATATAATTTGGAGAAATAATTATGTAATTACATTGCAAACCCTTGAAGGTAAAAGATGTAAGAAGAAAATATAGCATAGTTTATTAAAAAACATATTTACTTTCAAAACTCTTTCTGTTCCTTTTGTCTTTTTCATCAATTAAGCATAAATTCAGCTCAGTGCAGTATTATAAAAAACATTTGAAAATGTAATTGGTAAATTGTGTCTTCCCATAGGAACAAAGAGCGACGGCACCTTGTTTATCACCCTGCAATAATGTCATTACTATCCAGTTGACCTCTGATGCACAGTGACAGACAGATGATAGAGTAAGAATTCAGTGCATATTTGATAAATTCAGTAAAACATTTTCTTGCAATGAAAAAATAACCTTTCTGGCATTTCTACTTTCCTTCTCATTGAATAGCTTCTACAATAGCTCTATGTGATGCTTTAGAAGCTCTCTATGACTCTTTGGAAACCCAAACCGATCTTTGAATTTTTTTCAGGCTTCTCATTAACAGCAAGGATGAAGACAAAGCAACAGCATTCAATCGAGGATACCAACAAGTGATGCTTGTGTAGCACTCTTTTAACATTTGTATAAGTGGATGTAGTATATGTACATGGAATGACAGTGAATTGATCAAAGGATCAATTAGGTTTTTTCATTAAGGTTTGGAAAACCTTAATTTGTAAGATGTTCTAAGAAGAAATCAGCTTAATACATTCAAAAATATCAAAAACATCTCAATTATTTTGTAGAATTTCAAAAACAAAAAGATATATATTATATGAATTAAATCTGCATAATGATCTAATTCAAAGTGATAAAGTGGGAACTCGGGCTCATGATTTGAGAAGTGCATATATATGTTTTCGATCTTGAAGTAATGGATACTCCAAATATTTTCTTTTAAATGTAAGAAAAGGCACCATTACATAATATTTAATAAAATAATATATAATATCTTAGGAAATCTCTTGCAAATTCTGACTGTACTGATGATTAGCAAGCAATTTTTGTGTGCCTCAGGTATTTCTTTAAAGACAGTGCGAAATATATAGAGCTATAGGAGTAAATTCACATATACAGTGCATTTAATTAGATAGTTCCTGTAAAACAATAAGAACAGTGCCTGGAAAATAGAAAGCTCTCACTAAATATTGCTAATTGTTAAAAAATTCAGGTAATGGTTAAAGTCTGCGCAGAGCAGATACGTTTTTCTTTCTGCTAGGTCTGTGAATAGGACACAAAGATACAATTTCCTCCATTATGTAGAGAGTTGGAAGGAGCTTTGAAAAAACTCTTCTAATATCAACTTAATGCAACAGTCATAATAGTTAAAGAAAATAAAATGTATAAAACATGAAAGAAAAAAGCTGAAGCTCAAACACATTGGTAGAAAAAAAATGATGGAAATAAATAAAATTTTAAAATGCTACTACTTGAAATATTTCAATAAGAAGGACCCTATTTCTTCAGATGAGGGTGTTCAGGATGTGGAGAATTGGGTATCAAAATGCCCTAACATCAAGAAAAACTTCCAGGGATGAACAGTGTGAGATATCTGTAGGGTAACTTGAATTTGGGACTAGAAGAGAGTGATATTTGACAATTTGTTTTCTAGGCTTCACAGTGAGATTCTGGTAGAAGTTAAACCCTGTAGTAGCACAGGGAAGAGAAATCAGGGGCAGCCGTAAATACTCAAAAGCTGTGAGGCATGCTTCTGGAAAACCATTTTACTAGGATCTAAAGAAAATTCACATCATTTGGAAATAATACAGTTATTTTATTAAGTTTTTACAAAATCAAAGCTGATTTGTTTCAAAGTGGCTAAATTGATCTGCAGGCTTTTAGCATATATTTCCTCTGTAAAGAAGGACTTGTCGATAAACATGGTTGCACTCTCAGTATTGGAGTTTGGCATGAAGCCGAATGGGCTCCTTAATAGAATATCACTACATGATGTGGTCAGAATGAAGTAGATGCTTATGCTTCAAAAAAACTCATCATTTATATGAGTGAAATATTTTATGACATTTATCTGGAATTAACACAGCACTCTAAATATAACCAGATGACAAATAGGAGTGGTAAAAACCAGGAATTTTGAGATATTTGAGTTCTACAGTAATTATTTTTCATTTGCCTAGTCTCAAACATACTGTGGAAAGCCAATGCCTTTCAAAGCTTGCAATTTACCATGAACAAAAGGTGGAATCCTCTTGGTCAAGCAGGAATGAGGTACTACCCCATCCTGTGTGCACAAAACAGGTTTGCAGTGCAGATGTAGCAATGGCTTGTGGTTTTAACACTAACCAAATGAAACCATAAAATTACCCCCAAAGTTTTTAGGACTCTATCCTAAAAACTATCTAGCAAAATAAAGAATAATTTTGGAGTTGAAAAGACTTAAAATATATATTAGAAAATTTATCTAATTGATTTTGCAGCAAATGGAGGTCATTTTTTTCCATTAATCTTAACTGAATGCAGGATAATAAAACATATAGATAAACTCAAAAATAATAAAATTAATCACTTTATCCTCCATATTTCTCCCATATTTGTTGTAAAAGCCTCATCCTATATCTGAGTCTTTAAAGTTGACGGTCCTCAGACTTTTCTGTGTCTCATTTTCTCATCTCAATTGTTCCATGCTTCTTGCATCTCATCTAACATTTTGTTGTTTCTACCACCTTTATTCACATGTCCCAAAATCTATATCCTCAGTTCTAATTGCTCTCATAAGCTCTAGATTAATATGTCTGATGGCTCATGAAAACACTTATTTGAATATCTATGGGGAATTATGAGATAATCATCTAATTTTAACCTTGCCAACCTCTCCCAAACCTGCTCTTCTACTGGCATTCTCTTTTTAGTTATTTGAGTTTAAACCAGAGCATCATACTTGACTTTCACTCCTCCACTCCCTTTCCCAGTCGGTCCCAAAGCCATGTTGATTCTGCCTCTTTTATGACACTCAGACTTCACATTTGTCTTTCTCCCATGCTGCTGCTCAAAAAAATACTATTGTGAACTCCCATCTGAATTTTTGTAATCATTGATATTGTCTATTTTCCATTACATTTGCATCAGAATATTAGACATCTTAGAAAAAGTAACTATAATATCCAAATAAAATAAATATTTGACTTCTTTTTTTATTTTTATTTTATGTCAAAGTCTATTTTTTTTTCAAATTTAATTTAGGTTGGAGGGTACATATGCAATTTCGTTACATGGGTATATTGTGTGATGCTGAGATTTGGGATATGAATGATCCCGTAACCCAGGTAATGAATACAGTAACCAATAGGTATGTTTCAACCTTTTTCTCCCTCCTACCTCTAGTAGATGTTAGTGTCTGCTGTTTCCACCTTTATGTCCATATATATTCAATATTTAGCTCCCACTTAAAGTGACAACACGTAGTATTTGATTTTCTCTTCCTGGAATAATTCACTTGGAATTATGACATCCAGCTGCAACCATGTTGCTGCAAATGACATGATTTTATTCTCATTGTATTCCATGGTATATAAAATCATATTCTTTAGCCAGTCCATACTGTTGATGGACATCTAGGTTGATTCCTTGTCTTTACTATTGTGAATAGTGCTGCAATGAACATACAAGAGCATGTGCCTTTTTGGTATAATGATTTATTTTGCTTTGGATATATACCTAGTAATGGGATTGCTGGATTGAATGGTAGATTTGTTGTAAGTTCTTTGAGAATTCTCCAAACTGCATTTCACAGTGGCAGAACTAATTTACATTTGCACCAGGAGTATATAAGTGTTCCGTTTTCTCCACAACCTTGCCAACATCTGTTATTTTTTGGACTTTTTAATAGTAGCCATTTGGACTGCTGTGAGATGTCATCTCAATGTGGCTTTTATTTGCATTTCTCTAATGATTAATGTGATGTTGAGCATTTTTTATATATTCGTGGCGGTATGTATGCCTTTTTTAAAAAAAGTGTTTATTCATGACTTTTGACCATATTTTAATGTGGTTATTTGTTATTTTCTTGTTGAATACTTTAAGTTTCTTATGATTTCTGGATTTTAGATCTTTGATGAATACAAAGATTGCAAATATGTTCTTCCATTCTGTAATTTGTCTATTTACTCCATTGATAGTTTATTTTACTGTACAGAAACTCTTTAGTTTAATTGGGTCCCATGTGTTAAATTTGTGTTTGTTGCAATTGATTTTGGGGACATAATCATACTTTTTTTTTTTTTTTTTTTTGCCAAGGCTGATGTCTAGACTGGTATTTCTTACGTTTTAGTCTAGTCTTATGTTTTAGTCTAGTATTTTATAGTTTTAGGCAGAACATTTAAGTTTTTAATCCATCTTAAGTTAATTCTTGTATATGCTGAAAGTTAGTGGTCCAGTTTAATTCTTCTTTGTATTCATAGTGATTTATCCCAGCACTATTTACTGAATACGAAGGTCTTTCTCCATTGCTTGTTTTATTGTAATTGTTAAAAATCAGAAGATTGTAGGTGTGTGGCTTTACTTCTGGGTTCTCTATTCTGTTCCATTGGTCTATGTTTCTGTTTTAGTACTGGTACCATGCTGTTTATAGGAATGATGAGAGTGGCCATCCTTGTTTGTTCCAGTTGTTAACGGGAATGCTTCAAGATTTGGCACACTCACTATGATGTTGGCTGGGGGCTTGTCAAAGTCCCATGTACCTATTTTGAGGTATGTTCTTTTGATGCTTAGCTTACTGAGGTTATTCATAGTTATTACTGTGAAGGGATGTTAGATTTTATCAAAAGCTTTCTCTGTGTCTGTTGAGACAATCATATGTCTTTTGTTTTTAATTCTTTTTATGTGGTCAATCACATTATTTATTTGTGCACATTGAACCAATCCTGCATCCCAAGAATAAGACCAACTTGATGATGGTGAATGAACTTTTTTTAAAAATTATACTTTAAGTTCTGGGGTACATGTGCAGAACATGCAGTTTTGTTACATAGGTATACACATGCCCTGGTGGTTTGCTGCACCCATCAACCCGTCACCTACATTAGGTATTTCTCCTAATGCTATCCCTCCTTTAGCCCCCCATCCCCCAACAGGCCCTGGCATGTGATGTTCCCCTCCTTGTGTCCATGTGTTCTCATTGTTCAATTCCCACTTATGAGTGAGAACATGCAGTGTTTGGTTTTCTGATCTTGTGATAGTTTGCTGAGAATGATGGTTTCCAGCTTCATCCATGTCCCTGCAAAGGACATTAACTCATCATTTTTTATGGCTTCATAGTATTCCATGGTGTATATGTGCCACATTTTCTTAATCCAGTCTATCATTGATGGACATTTGGGTTGGTTCCAAGTCTTTGCTATTGTGAATAGTGCCACAATAAACATAAGTATGCATGTGTCTTTATTGTAGAATTATTTGTAATCCTTTGGGTATATGCCCAGTAATGGGCTTGTGGGTCAAATGGTATTTCCAGCTCTAGATCCTTGAGGAATTACCACGCTATCTTCCACAATGATTGAACTAATTTACACTCCCACCTACAGTATAACCTACAACAACAGCATTCCTATTTCTCCACATCCTCTCTAGCATCTGTTGTTTCCTGACATTTTATTGATTGCCATTCTAACTGGCATGAGATGGTATCTCATTGTGGTTTTGATTTGCATTTCTCTAGTGACCAGTGATGATGAGCATTTTTTCCTATGTTTGTTGGCCACATAAATATCTTCTTTTGAGAAGTGTCTGTTCATATCGTTTGCCCATTTTTTGATGGGGTTGTTTTTTTTTTTTCTGGTAAATTTGTTTAAGTTTTTTGTAGATTCTGGATATTAGCCCTTTGTCAGATGGATAGATTGCAAACATTTTCTCCAAATCTGTAGGTTGCCTGTTCACTCTGATGATAGTTTCTTTTGCTGTGCAGAAGCTCTTTAGTTTAATTAGATCCCATTTATCAATTTTGGCTTTTGTTGCCATTGCTTTTGGTGTTTTAGAAATGAAGTCTTTTCCCAGGCCTATGCCCTGAATGGTATTTCCCAGGTTTTCTTCTAGGATTTTTATGGTTATAGGACTTACATTTAAGTCGTTGATCCATCTTGAGTCGGTTTCTGTAAAAGATGTAAGGAAGGGGTCCAGTTTCAGTTTTCTGCATATGGCTAGCCAGTTTTCCCAACACCATTTATTAAATAGGGAATCTTTTCCCCATTGCTTGTGTGTGTCAGGTTTGTCAAACATCAGATGGTTGTAGCTGTGTGGTGTTATTTCTGAGGCCTCTGTTCTGTTCCATTTGTCTGTATATCTGTTTTGGTACTAGTACCATGCTGTTTTGGTTACTGTAACCTTGTAGTATAGTTTGAAGTCAGGTAGCATGATGCCTTCAGCTTTGTTCTTCTTGCCCAGGATTGTCTTGGCAATGCAGGCTCTTTTATTGTTCCATATGAAGTTTAAAGTAGTTTATCCAATTATGTGAAGAAAGTCAGTGGTAGCTTGATGGGCACAGCATTGAATCTATAAATTACTTTGGGTAGTATAGCCATTTTCACGATATTGATTCTTCCTATCCATGACCGTGGAATGTTTTTCCAGTTTTTTGTGTCCTCTCTTATTTCCTTGAGCAGTTGTTTCTAGTTCTCCTTGAAGAGGTCCTTCACATCCCTTGTAAGTTGTATTCCTAGGTATTTTATTCTCTTAGCAGCAATTGTGAATGGGAGTTCACTTATGATTTGGCTCTCTGTTTGTCTGTTATTGTTGTATAGGATTGCCTGTGATTTTTGCACACTGATTTTGTGTCCTGCAAGTTTGCTGAAGTTGCTTATCAGCTTAAGGAGGTTTTGGGCTGAGACAATGGGTTTTTCTAAATATAGAATCATGACATCTGCAAACAGAGACAATTGGACTTCCTCTCTTCCTATCTGATTACACTTTATTGCTTTCTCTCACCTGATTGCCCCGGTCAGAACTTCCAATACTGTGTTGAATAGGAGTTGTGAGAAAGAGCATGCTTGTTTTGTGCCAGTTTTCAAAGGGAATGCTTCCAGTTTTTGCCCATTCAGTATGATATTTGCTGTGGGTTTGTCATAAATAGCTCTTATTATTTTGAGATATGTTCCATTGATACCTAGTTTATTGAGAGTTTTTATCATGAAGAACTGTTGAATTTTGTCGAAGGCCTTTTCTGCATCTATTGAGATAGTCATGTGGTTTTTGTTGTTGGTTCTGTTTATGTGATGGATTACATTTATTGATTTGTGAATGTTAAACCAGTCTTGCATCCCAGGGATGAAGCCATCTTGATTGTGGTGGATACACTTTTTGATGTGCTGCTGGATTCGGTTTGCCTGTATTTTATTGAGGATTTTCACATTGATGTTCATCAGGGATATTAGCCTGATATTTTCTTTTTTTGTTGTTGTGTCTCTGCCAGGTTTTGTCCTAATAAAATGAGTTAGGGAGGATTCCCTCTTTTTCTATTGTTTGGAATAGTTTCAGAAGGAATGGTACAAGCTCCTCTTTGTACCTCTGGTAGAATTCGGCTGTGACTTCATCTGGTCCTGGACTTTTTTTGCTTGGTAGGCTATTAATTACTGCCTGAATTTCAGAGCTTGTTATTGGTCTATTCACTGATTCCATTTCTTCCTGGCTTAGACTGGGGAGGATATACGTGTCCAGGAATTTATCCTTTTCTTCTAGATTTTCTAGTTTATCTGTGTAGAGGTGTTTATAGTATTCTCTGATGGTAGTTTGTATTTCTGTGGGATCAGTGGTGATATCCCCTATATCATTTTTTATTGCATCTATTTGATTCTTCTCTCTTTTCTTCTTTATTAGTCTGGCTAGAAGTTTATACATTTTGTTGATCTTTACAAATAACCAGATCCTGGATTCACTGATTTTTTGAAGCATTTTTTGTGTCTCTATCTCCTTCAGTTCTGCTCTGATCTTAGTTGTTTCTTGTCTTCTGCTAGCTTTTGAAATTGTTTGCTCTTGCTGCTCTAGTTATTTTAATTGTGATGATAGGGTGTCGGTTTTAGATCTTTCCTGCTTTCTCTCTTGGGCATTTACTGCTATAAATTTCCCTCTAAACACTGCTATAAATGTGTCCCAGAGATTCTGGTGCATTGTGTCTTCGTTCTCATTGATTTCAAATAACTTCTTTATTTCTGCCTTAATTTTGTTATTTACCCAGTAGTCATTCAGGAGCACATTGTTCAGTTTCCAAGTAGTTGTGTGGTTTTGAGTGTGTTTCTTAATCCTGAGTTCTAATTTGATTGCACTGTGGTCTGAGAGACTGTTTCTTATTATTTCCGTTATTTTGCATTTGCTGAAGAGTGTTTTACTTCCAATTATGTGGTAAATTTTAGAATAAGTGTTATGTGGTCCTGAGAAGAATGTATATTCTGGTGATTTGGGGTGGAGGGTTCTGCAGAGGTCTCTTAGGTCCCCTTGGTCCAGAGCTGAGTTCAAGCCCTTAAGACCATCAACACTATGAATAAACTGCATCAACTAACAGGCAAAACAACTGGCTAGCATCATAATGACAGGATCAAATTTACACGTAACAATATTAACCTTAAGTGGAAATAGGCTAAATGCCTCAATTAAAAGACACAGACTGGTAAATTGGATAACGAGTTGAGATCCATCGGTGTGCTGTGTTCAGGAGACCCATCTCACGTGCAAAGACACACATAGGCTCAAAATAATGGGAAGGAGGAATATTTACCAAGCAAATGGAAAGCAAAAAAAAAAAAAAAAAAAAAAAGACAGGGGTTGCAATCCTAGTCTCTGATAAAACAGACTTTAAACCAACAGAAATCAAAAGAGACAAAAAATGTCATTACATAATGGTAAAGGGATCAATGCAACAAAAAGATCTAACTATCCTAAATATATATGCACCCAATACAGGAGCACCCAGATTCATAACCCAAGTTCTTAGAGACCTACAAAGAGAGTTAGACTCCTACACAATAATAGCGAGAGACTTTAACACCCCACTGTCAATATTAGACAGACCAACGAGACGGAAAATTAACAAGTATATTCAGGGCTGGTAGGTTCTTTACTACTGATTCAATTTTTGAACTCACTGTTGGCCTGCTCAGCATTTTTATTTCTCTCTGATTCAGTCTTGGGAGTTTCTGAGACTTACCCATTTTCTCTAGACTTTCTAGTTTGTGTACAGAGGTATTCATAATAGCCTCTGAGCATCTTTTGTGTTTCTTTGGTACCGGTTGTTACATCACCTTTGTTGTTTCTGATTGTGCTTATTGGGATCTTCTCTCTTTATTTTCATCATTAATCTAGCTAGTGGTCGATTAGTCTTGTTGATCCTCTCAAAGAATCAGCTTTTGGCTTCATTTACCCTTTGTATGGATTTTTAAATCTTAATTTCATTCAATTCTGCTCTAATTTTAGTTCTTTCTTTTATTCTACTAGCTCTCGGGTTAGTTTTTACTTCTTTGTCTAATTCCTCTAGGTGCCATGTCAGATTGTTAATTTGAGATCTATCTGATTTCTAGATGTAGGCATTTAGCATTATAAACTTTCCTCTTAATACTGCTTTTGCTGCATCCCAAAGATTTGGGTATATTGTGTCTTTGTTTTCATTTATTTCAAATAAGTTTTTGACTCCTGCATTAATTATGTTGTTTACCCAGAAGTCATTCAGGAGGAAGTTGTTTAATTTTCATATAATTGTGTGTTTTTGAAAAGTTTTATTGGTGTTGATTTGTATTTTTATTCCACTGTTGTCTGAAAGTGTGCTTGGTATGATTTTGATTTTTCTGAATTTGTTGAGATTTGCTTTATATGCAAGCATGTCATCATTCTTAGAGCATGCTCCATGTGCAGATGAGGAGAAGGTATATTCTGTGGTTGAAAGATGGAGTCTTTTGTTGTTTATCAGGTCTTGTTTATTAGATGATTATTAGGTCTAATTGATCATGTGTCAAATTTAAATCTTCTTTGTTAATCATTTTCTGTCTTGATAATCTAACACTGTCATTGCAGTATTGAAGTCCTCCAATATTATTGTGTGGCTACGTAAGTCTATAAGAACTTGTTTTATGAATCTCAGTGTTCCAATGTTGGGTGCATATATATTTATGATAGTTTAAGTCATCTTGCTGCATTGAACCTTTTATCATTGTGCCGCACCCTTCTTAGTGTTTCTTTACTGTTGTTGGTTTAAAGTATTGGCCAGGTGCAATGGCTCATGCCTGTAATCCCAGCACTTTGAGAGGCTGAGGCAGGTGAATCACTTGAGGTTAGGAGTTCAAGACCAGCCTGCCCAACATGGTGAACCCACATCTCTGCTAAAAATACAAAAATTACCTGTTCATGGTGGCACATGCCTGTAATCTCAGCTACTCAGGAGGCTGTGGCATGAGAATCGCTTAAACCCAGGAGGCGGATGTTGCAGTGAGCCAAGATAGCACCACCGCACTATAGCCTGCATAACAGAGTGAGACTCCATCTCAAAAAAAAAAAAAAAGTAAGTTTTATCTTTATCTAATATAAGAATAGTGACCTCTGCTGTCTTTTGTTTTCCATTTAGATGATAGGTCTTTTCTCCAAACCTTTACTTTGAGGACAAGGGTGTCATTACGTTTGAGATGAGTCCCTTACATATGGAAGAGGGATGGGTCTTGGATTTTTTTTGTTTTTGTTGTTGTTGTTGTGTTTTTTTTAAATCTATCTTGTTGATCTGCACCTTTTCATTTGGGAAGTAAAACCATTTACATTTAAAGTTAATACTCATATGTGAGATTTTGATTCTATCATGAAGTTGTTAGCTGGTTATTTTGTATTTTCAATTGTGTAGTTGTGTTATAGTTACAGTTTGTGGGCTATGTACTTAAGTGCAATTTTGTGGTAGCAGCTATTGTTCTTTCATTGCCTGTTTGGAACTCCCTTAAGACTGAATTTCGTACATGTAAACCTTTCTAACTACATCATACTCAAAGTACAACATAGTCATCCTTCTCTGTATTTGTACTCTCCATACAGCTTATGCTTTATGTCCCATGAAGCTTCCTAAACAGAACTAAGTCGGGGAGCAATAAAATCTACTACACAGGCCATTGCAATCACACATTCCAGGAAATGTTGATCATGTAGGGGATTCCAATAACTGTTAATTTATTAAATAAAAATGAACTCCAATACATTTCAATATCATAAAAGCTTTTCCTTTGTTCATAAAAAATACGATAAATGTCTATTATCTGGGCTTTATGAACTTTATATTCTTAGGGAGAAGAAACTAGTTTATAAAGAGCTCTGGACTCTTAAGTTTCTAAAATGTTTAACTAACACTGGTACGTTAAAAGCCTTCGCTATACACTATAGCATTAAAGCAAACAAATACACACACACACACACACACACAAACATAATACTAGGGTAAGGGTAATTTGTTTTGTTGTTGTTTGTGTGTGGGTATGTGATAGGTTGAATTATTGACTGTGATTCTTCTCATCTTTCTGCATCTATACCCATGTTATGGCCTCATTGTGGGTGGAGTTCCATGACTTTGAACCTGGCCACATGACTTGCCAAAGACAAGGGTATATAAGAGCTGTTGAGTTTAATGTAAGCCAATTCCAAGCTGGGCCCTGAAAAAGTCTCAAGTGTTTTCATTAGCTTGCTTCCACTTTGATATCACCAGGAAAAGATCATAGACCTAAGAGGACGAGAAAACTCTTTGACAGCAGAGCTACCAGAGTCGATTTGACCTAGCCATGACCTGCCTAGAAGAGCAAATCTCCACGGATTAAGCAGATGCTTTTGTAGTAATAAATGAGTATTGTTACAAGCCACAGAGCATTGGGTGGTTTACACAATAATAATTAACTTAAGTAATTTTATTATGCTTCATTAAAAGTGCAGGCAAATCTGAAGCATTCCTTAAGAATTCATTGTTAGCCCCGAGGTTGATCACTTACCTCATTAATAATATAGTTTACATGTATTTTCATATTAATTTTCTAAAAGCTGATATGCAAGCCTGTGTTGTGAAAAATATATATATAAAACTGTTAAATTGTGTTAAATAAATGAGCTAAGTGGAAAAGAAAACCAACAAACAGTAGTTTCACATCATGAAGAACAGAAGGTAAATAGGCTAAAATTATTTAAAGTGATGTGGGACACTATGTGTCCTTTTAA
Organism: Homo sapiens; assembly: GCF_000001405.40. Lineage (NCBI taxonomy): Eukaryota > Metazoa > Chordata > Mammalia > Primates > Hominidae > Homo > Homo sapiens. The sequence goes on from NC_000005.10 coordinate 23,860,597, forward strand.
AAAATTATAGATAAGATTTTAATTTTACTTTGGAAATAGATACATACTTATCAATCCTTTCTGGAAAAGTAATGCTATTGGCAACCAATTATGGGAGTGAGAGAGTAAACTATGTGAATTATAACATGTTACTAAAGTACCATTCTTTATATTTTCCTTAGAAACAGAACACTGTCTGTTAAATATAATAAATTGATATTAAATTATATATTAACTCAGATATTCAATAAGAATATGTTGTAATTAAGCTTTTCAGAATCTCATAATTCTTTCATGTGGGGGTAAATGTATTAAATAGTTTAGCCAAAAAGTTCTAGATTTCAGTTATTTGTGATCCATTAGAGCAGGCAGCATGAAAAATGCAGAAAAATGTATCTGTATTTACTTTTTTTCAAGTGAAGCATCATAGTTTGTCTTTTTATTATTACATTTTTGATTCTGTAATAGCTATTACTTTTGTGTATTATAAACAGGAAATCTGTCTGATAATTATTATCAAAACATCTGTTTTTCTGTATACGCTATTTCCAAAATGGGTATGTTTATAACCTCTTCAGGAGTATAATTGAATCCATGTTTGGCTTGCATATCTTATATGAATTCTACCTCTACCATGTCAATAATTATTTTGTTCCTTGTTATTGTCAGTTTTAAAATTAGTTCGATGTTTATGGAGAAGATAAGTAATGCTTTATAATTTGTATAAAGCAAACGAGTGTTCCACCAGATATGGCATGCAGGCTGCCCTGGTGAGGGGGTATCACCTTGGACAACGCAGCTCTGTTCAGCTGACAGCAAATCCCAGAGAGGGACTTGAGAGGAATTGAGGTTGAAATTTTCTCTGTCAACATTCCAAGAAGCTAGAAAAATGAAGTTCTCAGTCTTTTGGAGGTGTGTAGAAATAATACCATGACATCTGCTGGAACATTAATTTTTATTTAATTTTGTTTCATTTATTGATTTATTTTATGGATCAGAATACCAAATAATCCCTTCAGATTGCCTTGTTTATGATTTGGAAGCAACGTGCATAAAGGTGATTCAAAATACCAAATATAGCCAGTAAGGATATATCCTGATTGGTCAAAGACAATTTAAAAGCACTAAATCTTACATCTATGGTTAATGTGCATAGAGCTCACCTACTTAGTGACATGTTTCATGTTCTGTATTTCATCAATTTTAAGTTATCATTTTTTTCACATTGCATTAGTTTTCAAATTAAGAAAAATTAAAATATTTTTGCTGGCCAGACTACAGCCATTCTTGTATTTGCCTGGGCAGATGTGAAATAGCATGTAACTATTATTATTTTTTCACTTTCTTTGAAATATGTGCATCAATAATTATGTTTCATTTTAAATAAATTTCTATTTAATTTTCATTTCATTATATTACCACTAGCATGAACACTTGGGTAAGGGGAGTCATGATTGAGACAAAATGTTTGGGGCAGTACTAGAGCATTCTTTTAAGAAATGATGAATCACAGACAACTTTGATATTACAGAAGGCAATGTTATATGAGAAAAATATAGTAAAAAAAATTCTTATAATTGCACTGGAAGTGCTTTTGCTTTCTTAGTAGTAGATGAAATAAGAGTATGTCTAATCATGAAGGTGCTTTATATATGAGGAAATACAATTTTAAGAAATTTTACTCATATGTCTTTTAAGAAATATCAAAGTTATAAAATGACTCTGAATCCAAATCTGTACTACAAGGAAGGAGAAGCAAGCAGGAATCAGAAAAATAAGCAAATGAAGGATCTCAAGCCCAAGGATGGTAGCTCACACCTGTAATCACAGCAGTATGAGAGGCTGAGGTGGGAGGATCACTTGGGCCTAGGAGTTCTAGACTGGCATGAGCAACATGACAAAAGCCTGTCTCTACAAAAAATACAAAATAAATCTGCTGGGCATGTTGGCACATATCTGTAGTCCCAGTTACTTGGGAGGCTGAGGCAGGAGGATAACCTGAGCTCAGGAGGCTGAGGCTGTAGTGAGCAGTGATCACACCACTGAACTCTAGCCTCAGTGACAGAGTGAGACCCTGTCTCAAAAAAATAAAGAAACTTAATAAACATTTAATATAATAGAAAATAAAAGTTAAGACTATAACTATTAGATATTATAAAAGGGGGATTTTAAGCAAATTGAAATGAGTAAAATAAAATTACAGGAGCATATACGTTCAGATTATGTATGCATCAGATAACCTAACACCAAAACATATAATGCGATTATTACAAAAGTATAAGAAAACACACAGAAATATAATTGTACCAGCAAACAACCTTAATATTATTTATCTATGACAAATAAGTAGAAATATGATTAAAAGTTAATAATTACAAAAGTTAGATAATATGTTTATTTATACATACATAATATGTATACATATGGCTCAGAAATATGTAACTTTGTTGGTTACAAATTTCACACACACATATACACACACATACACACATTTACACACACATACACACACACACTAAGGGGTCTTCAAAGTTTCATGGAAAACATGTATTCAGAAATAACAATGTGGCTGGGAGCGGTGGCTCACGCCTGTAATCCCAGCACTTTGGGAGGCTGAGGCGGGCGGATCACAAGGTCAGGAGATGGAGACCAACCTGGCCAACATGGTGAAACCCCGTTTCCACTAAAAATACAAAAAAAATTAGATGGGTGTTGTTGCACGTGCCTGTAATCCCAGCTACTCAGGAAGCTGAGGGAAGAGAATTGCTTGAACCCAGGAGGTGGAAGTTGCAGTGAGCCCAGATGGCACTCCAGCTTGATGACAAAGCAAGACTCTGTCTCAAAAACAAACAAACAAACAAACAAACAAACACCACAAATAACTATAAATAGATTTCAAAACTTTTTTTGGGACCAAAATACATTTACTTGTTTTTGTTTTTTTAGTTTTTTTTTTGAGACAGAGTCTCGCTCTGTCGCCCAGGCTGGAGTGCAGTGGCACAATCTCGGCTCACTGGAAGCTCCGCCTCCCAGGTTCACGCCATTCTCCTGCCTCAGCCTCCTGAGTAGCTGGGACTACAGGCGCCCACCACCGCACCCCGGTAATTTTTTGTATTTTTAGTAGAGACAGGGTTTCACCGTGTTAGCCAGGATGGTCTGGATCTCCTGACCTCGTGATCCTCCCACCTCGGCTGCCCAGTATTTGTTGTAACATGTCTGAACAGGATCTAGTTTGAGGATAAAGCATGAGTTTGAAAATAGCCCCTATAAGAGCAACATGAATTCTAGACAAATTGAAGTATGAACAAACATCAAATTGAGACAACCAGGTGAGAAGGGCCCCCTGACAGAGCCTCTGACTGGGAGAGCCCCTGACAGACTGCCCACTGGGAGAAACACATACCTGGCTGGAGCCACACAAGTTTGCACCATTTGCAGCGGGGAAGAGCCGGGCCCCTCCTTTTCCTGGGTGGAAGCTGGGATTCAAACTGCAAGGCAGGAAACCCACGGGCAGGAAACACACTTTTTCGCTTCACTAAGAGCCTCTGTTTCCCTTTCTTTTCCTTCTTGCCAAATAAATCCCATTTTTCTCACTCTTCAACTCATCTGTGAGCCTAAATTTTCATGGCTGTGTGATAAGGAACCCCATCTTTAGCAGAACTAAGGGAAAATGCCTTGCAACATCTTTGGTGTGCAAGGTAGGGACTTGAGAAGCAGTGAGTGAAATGGGTTCTCAAAACCTCTCACTGTCCTTTCTAAGCCTTTTCATCCTTGAACTTCTGAGGGCAGGGGAAACTTTGCCCCCACCCTGCCACTCCCGGGGGTTTGAAATGTCAGCCTCAGTCTCCATGGCATTGTCCTCCCTTTCTCTGGATGGACTGGTGAGTGATGGCTTCCTCTTTCCCTCACTGGGCTTCCCTCCCTGCTGGGGCTGGGACTCATGGCCTGAGGCACCCTGCCTGGCTGACTGGCATTTTCTGCCATGTGCCCATGGAGTCTTTCCCTCCCCTGGCCAGAGAGGCCAGCTTCGACCGACAACAATTAAACTTGTCTTCCTGGTGGAAGGGCCATTTGCATAAAATAAGAGGTTCTTCCTCACGCATTTTTAAACTTTTTCTTTCCTCTTACCCACCCTGTCAGTCGTTAACTTTTAAGCAAGTTATTCTTTTTTCCTGTTGGAAGACATTTTACTAGGCCAGGCCCCCCAACTATCACTGTTTATATTCTCTGTAAAGTTTTGGTTGTGAGGAGAGAGGCCATTTTTCCTACTGTCCGCTGTCTCCAAAGAAAAGGAGGAAGTAAAAACTGAAAAATAACAGACTGATTGGCCCACTGGCCAGGCCTGTAGGTTAAAGATTAACCCCCACCTAACAGCTTGTGCTATCTATAGATCACAGACAATGATATAGAGAAATACTTGCCTTGCTCACCACCCCCACCTAGTCACATACCCCATGCTTGCTCAGTCTATCATGACCCTTTCACGTGGACCCCTTTGAGTTGTAAGCCCTTAAAAGGGCCAGGAACTCTTTCTTCAGGGAGCTCAGTTCTTGAGACACAAGTTGGCGGACGCTCCCAGCCGAATAAAGCCTATTCCTTCTTTAACCTGGTGTCTGAGGGGTTTTGTCTGAAGCTAGTCCTGCTACAGTTTTAAAAAAAGGATCTTGTGGGGACTGGGTTTTCTTCTGTCTGTCTGTTGTATATAATGTCTGGAGAAAGAGCTCTAATTAATTTAGCCTAAAGAAAAACAATCCCTTGGATCTACAATTTTTTTAAGGGAAGATAAAAGCTGTGGTACCTTTCAGTTCATGTGACTTTAACTTTTGAGAAATAAAAACAACCTTAAAGATTATTAGTAAAAAGCAGATGTCTTCAAAATGTAAATAGGTGGAATACATTATGCAGGTCAAAGTGAAGATTTGCTAAGTGTCTTAAGGTGACAAACTGCTTTTTGGGTTTTGAAAACTATTTGACTTGCCTGCTTCACAACTGGTAAGGCCTGGGGGCATATGGAACTAACTATGCCCTTAATTATGCACGTATAACATGATGTAAACAACTTACCAGGTTTCACATTAAAGTTAAAATTACTAGGAGTTAACATTAAAACATGTAATTGAAACTACTGAAAATAGATTTACATGCAAGGTGTGTAAGAACAGTAAAATCTTATTTATTTATTTATTTTTTGGTAAAAGGTTATAAGAAGGCATGAAAATTTAAATTTTTGCCTAGGGTAAAAAATTGTTTTGAATTCAATAAGATAAAGCTGAAAGTTCAAACAAATGGTGGAAAGATTATGGAAATGAATCTTGCAGATGAGGTTCTCTGTGTGAACATACTGACTAAATTCAAAAAAGATATTATATGATTTCTTTGTAAATTGAGCATTGAAATAAAGCATAACAAGGTATTCTTAAGGCACTAATCTGCTCTTTATCAAAATTTATAAATGGTTACAAAAGGTTTTTGCTTCTTTAAATTTTCTGAGTCATCATTTTGGCAAAATAAATCGTTTATGGCAATCTGGAATTCTATTTCTTAATATCAGTGCTTTAAACATATCTAACAGGCATCCCAAAATCACATTTCAGTTTCAAAATTGAATTTTCTGACACCTGGCTTTTGAGATACTTCAGAGGGCTCCTGAGGCATCCAGAAAAGAGAGGTAAAGAGGGTTATTTGACATATTTAGGTACATGGGATTGCCAAAATCATGTTCAGTCTTCTTTAGGTTATATTTTGATGAATAATGCTAATTAATATATGTTCCAAAATTGTGTGGGATTTCTAAAATTTTAATGTCTAAGTATATGCTATCAATCATAAGTAAGGTTGTCATGTTAAGTTATTGTAAGCCACAGAGATAACCAAAGTTCTTTGTCAATGGTGTTTCAAACTGTAACTATCCTGGACATTTTACTCTTCACAGACAACTGTTGTCTTGTTTTAATCCTTTTCAAAAGATGGTTTATAATAAACTATAGAACTTTAACAGGTGCTCTCAAATACAGGCTTCTGATATCTTTGGAGTTTGTGACATTGGAATAAAGGAAAATGTACAGGACTCATAAATAGCTGAAATGTTCATGAATATCAAGCAAAACAAGAGTTTACTAAATGGACTAAGTTCAGAAACTGAAGCAATCTATGTAACCTTTGCTTGGAATATTGCTGATCTTTGTTTTATTTTGCAGAGTCAAGGAAACTTATTTTGAACTATTTACAGCCTTTAATAATTGAGTAAGTTATATTCCTATAAACAAATTTGGAGCATGTTTGTTTCTCTCTGCCTGGTTCCTGTAGAATTTGGAGACTATATGTGAGCATTCTTAACTTATGGCAATATAGTTGTTTGCATCAGTGCAATAAAAATCCATTTTTCTTTTGCAACAGGATCCAATTGGAAAAATTGGTTATTTTACCAAAGCTTTAACTGGAATGATATGCTTCCATTTAAGGAGTCAAGCTCGACTTGCAGAGCCAATAAAAGTCCAGTGGGGAAACTGGCCTCATACTCTTGTCTATTCAGTCCCTGTACAGGGTTCCTGACCTGTGGTCAGTAAAGAATGTCACTTTCGGCTGGGCATGGCGACTCACCTCTGTAATCCCAGAACTTTGGGAGCTAACATTAAAAATTAGGGTTTATGTTTTCATTTTTATATTTTAATTCCATCTTCCCATAAACTGTTGGAAGTACTCTTTTGAGTTTGTGTGTCTGTGTATAGAAAATACATATTTTCCAGGCTACTGAATATATACCTAATGCAGGTTAACTTGAAGGAAATAAAGACTATCTGATTAAGGAGAAGTAAACAAAAGTTGAGTAGATTTTTAATATGTGATAAAATAAATCAAAAAAGAAAAATGAAAGAAACAAATGGCATTATGTTTTCAATCTAATCAAACATTTTCAATACCAAATTTTGCCATGTCTTTCCACATGTAACTGATACCAAATTTTTCACATATTTCCTGATGTTTAGTAATGTATCGTATTCATCCAAATAAGGTTTTTATTTCTCCTTTTTCAACTTCCTCTTATTTTTCCCATTCTTTTATTTCTTTTTCCTTTTTCCCTTTCTATTTTCCCTCCCTCCCTCCTTTTCATCTTCCTCTTATCCTTTCTCTTTTTTTTGAGATGGAGTCTTGCTCTGTAGCCCAGGCTGGAGTGCAGTGGCGCAATCTCGGCTCACTGCAAGCTCCACCTCCCGGGTTCACGCCGTTCTCCTGCCTCAGCCTCCCGAGTAGTTGGGACTACAGGCGCCCGCCACCGCGCCCGGCTAATTTTTTGTATTTTTAGTAGAGAAGGGGTTTCACTGTGCCAGCCAGGATGGTCTCGATCTCCTGACCTCATGATCCGCCTGCCTCGGCCTCCCAACGTGCTGGGATTACAGGCGTGAGCCACTGTGCCCGGCCCCTCTTTTCCTTTCTTTACTTTCTTTCCTCCTCCCTCCACCCTGTCTCAACTTCTCCCCTCCTTCTTTCATTCCCTTTCAATCTTCCCCAGCAATGTTAAGAGAAAAATCTACCCATGAAATAATTTATTACACTTATCAATTTTATATTAAAGGTTAAAATTAATATATAATTAAACACTTAAATGTCAAATCTATGATCTGCAAAGGTAAATAGGGCTGCTTCTAAAAATTAACCACAATTTTACTTTTTATAAATAAGTTTCACATTAAAAATATTTTTTGCTCCTTCTTGCACAGTTTGTTAAAATTTTTAATTTGTTTTAATTTATTTGGTTTGGCTTATTTGCTGATTAGAACAAAAACAATAATATAATCACTTTAGACATATGCATATATAAAAAGTAATTACTGAAGGAAAACACAAAAAAGTTGCAGCAAAATATTTGATTTTTAAATGATAGATCCTAAAGAAGAAATAAATGTAATATATACTAGAACAAGCTTTAGTAGAAGTCCATTACTTTAATGGAGTAATGATGATCACTGACAATAAAATTTAAAAATTTTTGCTGGCTGCGGTGGCTCAAATCTGCAATTCTGAACTTTGGGAGGCTGAGTCAGAAGACCACTTGAGGCCAGGAGTTCAAGTCTGGCCTGGGTCACACACATTCATGTTCCTTTACATTAAAACAAATTGCATTTATTTAGGTATATACCCAGTAATTAGATTGCTGGGTCAAATGGAAGTTATAAGTTCTTTGAGAATTCTCAAAACCACTTTCTACAGTGGCTGAATGAATTTACATTTCCAGCAGGATATTAGCATTCCCTTTTCTCTGCAGCCTCACCAATATCTGTTATTTTTTTACTTAGCCATTCTGACTGATGTTAGATGGTATCTCACTGTGGTTTTGATTTGCATTTATCTAACAAGTGATGTGGAGTATTTTTTCACATGCTTGTTGGCTGCTTGTGTGTCTTCTTTTGAGAAGTGTCTGCTTATGTGCTTTGTTTTTGAATTGAGTTGTTTAATATTTGCTTGATGATTTGCTTAAGTATCTTGTAGATTCTGGAAGTTAGACCTTTTTCAGATGCATAATTTGCAAGTATATTCTCCCATTTTGTAGTTTGTCTGTTTACTCTCTTGATAGTCACTTTTTCTGTACAGAGCTTTTTAGTTTCATTATGTTACACTTGTCAATTTTTCTTTTGTTGCAATTGCTTTTGAAGATTTAGCTAAAAATTATTTTCCAAGGCCAATGTTAAGAGGGCATTTCCTAGGTTTTCCTCTAGGATTTGTATACTTTGAGGTTTTATGTTTAAGAATTTAATTAATCTTAAATTGATTGTTTTGTATACGTTGAAAGGCAGGGTCCAGTTTTAATATTCTGTATGTAGCTAGTCCGTTATCCCAGCACCATTTATTGAACGGGGAGTCCTTTCCCCATTGCTTGTTATTGTCGACTTTGTCAAAAATCAGATTGTTGTACATGTGTGGCTTTATTTCTGTGTTCTCTATTTTGTTCCATTAGCCTTGTGTCTGTTTTTGTACCCCAGTACATGCCAGTACACGCTGTATTGTTTACTGTAGCCTTGTGTTATAGTTTGAAGTCAGGTAGTATAATGTCTCTAGCTTTGTTCATTTTGCTTAGGATTGCTTTGGTTATTTGGACTCCTTTTGGGTTCCATGTGAATTTTAGAATAGTTTTTTTCTAATTTTGTGAAGAATTGTGTTAGGGGTTTTATAGGAGCAGTATTTGATATGGTTTGGCTCTGTATCCCCACTCAAACCTCATCTTAAATTGTAATAATCCTCATGTATCAAGGGCGAGACCAGGTGGAGGTAAGTGGATCATGGGGGCAATTTCGCCCATGCTGTTCTTGTTGTAATGCGCTAGTCTTATGAAATCTGACGGTTTTATAAGCATGCCACATTTCCCCTGCTTGCACTCATTCTCTCTCCTGCTTCCCTTTGAAGAGGTAACTTCTTCCATGATTCTATTTTCTGAGGCCTCCCCAGCCATGCAGATCTGTGAGTCAATTAAACCTCTTTCCTTGATAAATTACCCAGTCTCAGGTATGTCTTTATTAGCAACGTTAGAACTGACTAATACAGCATTGAATCTGTTAATTACTTGGGCAGTGTGCCTATTTTAACAATATTGATTCTTCCTATCCATGAGCATGGAATGTTTTTCCACTTGTGTCATTTCTGATTTCTTTAGCAGTGTTTTGTAATTCTTGTTGTGGAGATCCTTCTCTTCCCTGTTTATTTGGCTTTTTTTTTTCTATTTTTTTTGTGACTCTTGTGAATGGGATTTCATTCCTGATTCATCTCTCTCCTTGGATGTTATTGGTGTATAGAAATGTTAATATTTTTTGTACATTGATTTTGTATCATGAAAATTTGCTGAAGTTGTTTATCAATTCTAATAGCATTTGGAATTCTTTTCAAAATATGGTAAACATCAAAAATGAAATCCAGTTTAATTTATTGTAAATTAAATTGTAAAAACCAATATCAATCTAAAAAGAAACATTCTCACATATAAATAATAATGGTGGAATTATTTGCAAAGGCCATCTAAGAAAGAAAGCCAAAATGATTTCTGTGTGCTTGCTATTATTTTAACAGAAAACCATGTCCATGCTATTTGGGCAATGCCTTTATTCTAGGTTACAATGGGATTCACATTGTTGAAGAAAAAACAGACATAAAATTTGTGACAAACAACTGTTATTTATTTTCCCTGTTTGTAAATGATACATGACTGAGCATGATGATACCAGTTCTTTATCAAGGCTTGAGAAAATATAAGTAGTAAATCTTTCTGTGCCTGAAAAGAAGTTCTTTCCTTTTTATTCAGAGCAAATAAACTACATAACATAAATATGGAACATAAAGTGGTTTTAAAAAGTGTAATGAAGAGAATAGGATGTTTATTCTATCTGAAGACACATTTTGACTTTGTTTCAGAAAAATCTCCTGCTGTCTTAAAGTATATCAGAATACCTGATAGCCTCAATGGAGAATTTTGTTTCTTTGACAGAACCCAGACTTTTAAACTCTCCCCTCCCTGGGAATGTCAAATTTCAGAATATATATACACACACACACACACACACATATACATGTGTATATATGTGTGTATATAACATATATATTTATGTTTATATCATATCACAAATCTATATAAAATGTGTGTGTATATATATAGATATATTTATATATATCCAACCGTGTGTGTATATATATGTGTGTTTGTATCTCTATATATAAAATCTATAATTGTTCTATGATGGTTCTGTTCAGAATGAACTCAGCCTTTATTTGCTCTGAGAAGCCTTCAAACACTTCCACAATAGTGGTAAAATGTATCACTTTTGTAATTCCACGGTAATCTGATAGTGGCTTTATTTGACTCTTACTACATAAGGATAAAATTATCCATACATTTGACCATAAGCTCTTCTTCACTTTTGCTTTTTTTTTTTTTTTTTTGATGCTTCGATGACATAGCCTGATGTTTATGCATAGTGGGTACTGAACATATTTTATTGACGTATCCTGATTATTTGTTACTGTATTTACATGGTCAGATATAAAATTTGTACTGAAATCCATGTCATTAGGTTAAATTCATCCATAATTAAAATAATTCAAATAAAAAATCAATTTTACAAATGCCATTTTCAATATGACAGATTCATAGTAATTGTCACTTTTCTTTAGAAAAGTTTTATGAACTTTGCATTTTCACTCAAATCTCAAGGTCAATTTATAAAATCCTATTTGTATTCCTTTAAGCTTTATTAAAGTATAATTTATATACAAATGTTGCTCATGTTTAATGTATACATTTTGATGAGTTTGAACATATACATACACCTGTGATAGTATTTTTAATTCCAGTACCAAGGTAATAGACTTATATGCATCGCCTCCAAAAGTTTTCCTGAGAGCTGTCGAAAACAAGCAATGGGAAAAAGACTCCATATTTAATAAATGGTGCCAGAATAACTGGCTAGCCCTATGCAGAAGATTGAAGCTTAACCCTTTCCTCACTCCATACACAAAAATCAACTCAAGATGCATTAAATATTTAAATATAAAACTGAAAACTACAAAACAAAATAAACTGGACACAACCTAGGTGCAATACCATACTGGAGATAGGAATGGGCAAAGATTTCATGACAAAAACACCAAAAGTAATCCCAACTAAAGCCAAAATGACAAGTGGGATCTAATGAAACTTAAGAGCTTCTGCACAACCAAAAAAAACAAAAAAACAACAACAACAACAAAAAAAAACTAACGAAGTAAACACACAACCTATGGAATGGGAAAAAAAATGTGCTCATGGATAGGGAGAATCAATATCATTATAATAGCTATACTGTCTGAAGCAATTTACAAATTAGTGCTATTCCTGTCAAACTACCAACAACATTCTTCATGGAACTAGAAAAAAAACTGTTTTAAAATTCATATGGAACCAAAATATGTCCCCAATACCCAAAACAATCCAACGCAAAAAGAACAAAGATAGAGGAATCATGTTACCTGACTTCAAACTATACTACAAGGCCATAGAAAAAAAACAGTGTGGTACTGGTACAAAAACAGGCACATAAACCAATGGAACAGAATAGAGAGCCCAGAAATAAGGCTGTACATCTATGACCATCTGATCTTTGACAAAGCTGACAAAGACAAGCAATGGAAGAAAGATGCTCTATTCAATAAGTGGTGCATTTTGATGAGATTTTGAATAACAACCAAAAATTATAAATGTTCAGAGTGATGGATATAATAGATATCATTACCTTGATTTGAGCATTATACATTGTATATATGCATTAAAACATCATAATGTACTTCATAAATATGTACAATAATTATATATCAATTAAAAAATAATTAATTTTAAAAATCCAGTGATGTGGATTGTCAAGATGTCTACAATTTTATGTTGTCCAATGTCATGTCTTTTAACAATGTGCCCTTGGGCATTAATGATATTTTATACCATATTTCAACCTTATCCAAAGCTTGAAATTAGATACAGTAGTAAATTTGAGAAATTTGTACATCAGTGCCATCTGGAATTTTCTGGCAAACCCAAGCCCTAATTTGATAATACTGTATAAAATAGTGACATATGTGTAGTGTAGCACTCTATTCAAAATATTAATGCTTAATCCACTTCATTAAAATCCTAAGTCATACTAATACTGGTAAGTCAGATGTTATAAAATGCCTTTTAATCTAATGTGTGTGTGTGTGTGTGTGTGTGTGTGTGTGTGTGTGTGTTGTTTTTTGGGTGATCTTTTAAAAGCTAATTCTGTCATATTTTTGCATGAAAGTAAAATGATCTTAGAAACACATACACAGACACACACACACATACACACATACACAAAGAAAATTAAATAAACCAAAATTATACAAAGGTTTAAAGGGAATGAGGAGAAAAAGATTCACTTTTTACCACTTTCAAGCAGTCTCTCAGTCCAACTACTCAGAGGTAACTTATGTATCTTTCCATTTGCATATATTAGTTACTCATAGTTACATAGCCCTATATACACAATGGCACAAATGTATTTTTTATATGCAAGACTGAACTTGAATATTTTTATAAAACATGGCTCTTTGTTATTTAAAATATATCTCTATCTTTTAGCATCAGAGTATGTATAGATCTACATTGCGTACTTTATGGTTCTTTATTTTATGGCTGCCTTAAAATACAGAAATTATTTAATTTAACCTATATTACCAGTAAGTAATATTGTTTCTAAGGTTTTGGTTTTTGAGACAATTATAAATAATATTTCAGTATCTAGGTAAGTGTATGTCCTAGTTTTGTGCTGCTATAACAAAAAACGTGAGTAATGTATAACACAAAGAGATATATTGCCTCCAAGTTCTGGAGAATACAAAGTCTAAGATCAAGGTGCTGTTATCTGGCAAGGACCTTCCTGCTATGTCATAATGTGGCAGACACATCTTATGGCAAAAGGGTAAAAAGAATGTTAGAGAAAGAGCAAGAGGAGGAAAATCTACTGTGGACATAGCAAACCCACTTTCATGCTCACGGCTTCTGATTATGTTCCTTCAACTTCTACTATTCCTCTTGGTTGAAAATATACATTTCTACCACCTATTAGAAATATTTGTCTGGGTGGGTGTGGTGGCTCATGCCTATAATCTCAGCACTTTGGGAGGCTAAGGTGAGAGAATTGCTTAATACCAGGAGTATGAGACCAGCCTGGGAAACATAGCAAGACCCCCTCTCTAAGAAAACTAAAAAATAAAAGTATCCAGGCATGGTAGAGCACACCTGGAGTCTTACCTACTTGGGAGACTGAGGCAGTAACACCCCTTGAGCCCAGAGATTGAGGCTGCAGTGAGCTATGAGCATGTCACTGCTCTCCAACCTAGGTGACAGAGCAAGACCCTGTCTTAAAAATAATTAAAATAAAAATGAAGGGAGAAATATTTGTCTTACAGACATCTCTGTAATTTCACAGTATATAGTTGAAAAGAGGAGTCAACAAAGGAAGAGACCAGGTGCCGTGGCTCGTATTTGTAATCCCAGTACTTTGGGAGGCCAAGACAGGTGGATCATTTGAGGCCATGCATTCAAGACCAGCCTGGCCAACATGGTGAAATCCCATCCCTACTAAACATACCAAGATTAGCTGGCATGGTGATAGGCACCTGTATACAGTCCCAGCGACTCAGAAGACTGAGATAGGAGAATCACTTAAACCCAAGAGGCAGAAGTTGTAGTGAGCAGAGATCATACCACTGCACTCCAGCCTGGGCTACAGAGCAAGACTCCATCTCAAAAAAAAAAAAAAAAAAAAAAAAAAGAGATGTAAAAAGAAAAAGAAGCGAAGGGCGAAGGTAGTGTTTGTTTGACAGCAATAGAGCTAGATAGATTGGGTTGAATCCCAGTTAGGCAACTTTCTGGCTACATACTTTGGAGAAGTCACTTACCCTTTCTGTTCCTAAATTTTCTCAAGTGTAAAAAGGAATCACAATAGAAAGAGGAAAGATTGAAATAAGAATGACAGCGCTCTGCATATACACACAGAGTAAAATATGTCAAATGTAGTGATTCAATATCAGTAGGATGACAAAGTAATTAGACTTGAATACATATTGCTCAAAGGAGGAAACTGGGAAAAATTATACAGAGTTCATATAATTAGTTTTTCCATTCTCATGGAATAGGGTCCTGGAAGCCTAGTGGGAAATTGTTCTGTTTTTCCAATGCAAAAATCACTTAGTATGTTGCCTTTTACTGGTTTCCATTGCAATATGGAAGGCCTCATATTTTTACTTGATTTGATGTAAATAAAAGTTGCATCAATTTAAGTGGATCAAACAATTTCACTATCCACCCACTCATTCTTTTATCCATTCATTTTTAATGTATTTACACATTGAGTAAACCTTCACTGGTTTTCTTTCAATTGTTAACCTCTTACTTGGCAGTATGAATTTTTTAAAAAAATAAATGTGTGATTTAAACAAAAAAGAATGAAGATAATTTTATGACAAATTTCTCATGTATTTTGAGTGAATAGTCAGACTGAAGATGTACAATAAGATCATTTGACATGGCAGTAATAATTAAATTTGTGTTTTATTGATTTATATAGTATTTATTGTGTTCTTGCTATGATCCATATGCTCTGTTAAGGGATCAGTCCAATTGCCAACAGTGATAATCATTGAATATTTTCTAGAGAGCCCATGTCTGAAGCTACAGTATCCATCTGAAATCATGTGGGAAGAGAAAAATGCAAAGGATATTGAGGCAGAAAGATAAATATTCATAACATAACATTTGAAAAGATAAACGGATGTTTTGGGGACATAAGGCATTCTTAATTGAGATTCCCATTACATATTAATACATGCATTACAAACAGATACAGTTAGTAGAGTAAATAAATTACTTAGGACTCCTGAGTGTTTAAGTGGTTCTGACACCATCCTTCTCATCTAACTTACTTATTCACAAGAATTTTACACTGAGAAGCTGACTGTACATAATAATTATGGTATTATTATAGTTTCTTGGTTTAAGTTAGTGAAGAAAACTGAGAGACATATGCACAGAGAATCACATTTTTTCCAGTAATTTGACCACTCAGAGAGATAATGAAGAATAAAGATTATCAGGTTGATCTCAGGAACAGAGAATTGCACTCTTCTGAGACAAAGTTGAGAATCTTGGTTTTAACATTATTTAATATAAATACCATACATATTTCTTTTAGACTCCATATGGTCTCTTAAAGAGTTAGTGACATGAAAAACATGTTCAAATAAAATTATTCTAACTGTTCAATTCAAGATGAGATTATTTGGAGAGTAAAGAGAGAGGACAAGTGGATACCCTATTATCCAGGTTTATTAGTGTACTAAAGCAATAAAAGTACTGAATCCAATGTACTCTCAAAGTCAATTCTCATATGAAGAACAACTTTATATCCTGATGAAGTAAAAGATCACAAAATTCAATAGCGAAGATTCAAGGTAATGACTATTTTAAGGAGGACATATCTTTTTCAGACTGGCATATGGTCCAACAAGGTGCTGGCCTCATTACTGACAAGGTGTGAAACTATTTAGAGCAGAGAAACATTTAGGGCTCTACAATAAGAGCGCTGGGTACATTAGCGAAAACAAAACAATACCTTTAACAAAACAGTGTATCTCAAATAATAAGTTTTATGGCTCTTTGTTTTTCTGTGCTTTTCCGTGCAAGTATGATAGCATACAGAAATTGCTTAACTAAAGAAATGCAACAGAATCTTAAACTAATGGGTATGGTGTGC
Source organism: Homo sapiens (assembly GCF_000001405.40). Lineage (NCBI taxonomy): Eukaryota > Metazoa > Chordata > Mammalia > Primates > Hominidae > Homo > Homo sapiens. The sequence continues at coordinate 23,876,862 of NC_000005.10, forward strand.
AATGCTTTAACTTAATGATGTGGCACTTTTTGGACTATCCCACTTTATATGTTAATTTTTGTAATCCTTATAAATGGAAAATCTCATATAGACTATGCAACATCATTGTGCAGCATAAAAATTATATCCAAATGATTTTTCTGATGACATGCATCCATTAGAAGGAGCCCATAAAAATGTTATAAACATACTTGGATCTGCTAGGTGATGATTTTTCCTGACAAGGTAATGTGTTGTGCTACGAGTAAAAATGGAGTAATACTGTTGAAAAGAATAAAATGACTCCAGTGTCATTTATGCAAAAACAAAAAATTAAAAAAAAACAGTATAGTCTACAAAAGCTCAGCTATTAAGATAGTCCTTTGAGAATTGTAAGTTTCACATGATAATTTTTACAAGCTATTTTTCTAGATTGATAGGAAGTATATCAATGAAGATAGCATTGTCTTAAATTTGCATTTTAATAATTCAACCACTGTTAAGGTCTCCAGAGCTTCCAAAATAAACATTTTTCCCCTGAGTTTTCTATAATTTGAAAAATAGTTCTGAAGAACTGAAAATGTAAAAATATATGTCAATTTTCTATGGACATTATCTTTAATAGTCCTATATCTACCTAATTTTTTTAAGCAAAGACTATATATATATACACAGATTGAATGCAGCATTTACATATGATAAATTTTTGAAGGTCTGACTAAACTCTTTGTGTTTTCAGTGGTAATTGAGTAATCATTGATTTTATTTGTCATTTAAACATAATACTGAAATTCTCAATATAGACTTGATTAAAAGTGAAGATTGATAAACACATCAACCAGCCTGTGTAAAAAGTGGTAGAAAACTTTTAACAAAAAAGCAAATTTTAAATCACTTACTGGTTATAAAAGAAAAATAGGTTAAAAAGAAATAACATATATGACAATTGTCTACTGACAATATTGCAATTTTTAATTCAAAATTGTTTTAGACTAAAAAAAATACTATTTACACAGCTAAAAAATAAATATAGCAGTGGTTGCCAGTTCTGGAAGTGCAGAGCCTAGTAAAAAGGAGATGTTCTTATAAAATCATAAACGCTTCGCAGAACTAGTTAGGTAGAGAGGACAATTAGTCAAAAGACTGCAGACTATGAACCAATGTGGTGTAACGGGGGAGTTTAGATTCTATATTTATGACCAATGCCTGAAACTTAAGGTGGGTATAAGGTCAGAAGCATTGTGGTAAACCAGGTCAACATTTGCAATTAAGACTACAGCATAAAGAAAAGGCTCTGGAAATTTTGAATTAGTTGCCAAAGAAATTAAAGATTAATAAGTGAATAAATAAATCAAATAACATAGATTCTGAAAAGCCAAAATAAATTTATGATTGCATGCAACAGAGGGAGACATAGCTATATATAAATATATACAAACACACTCATACTGGTTAGAAATGAACCAGTATATATACTATATGTCAATTATTAGCAAAATATATTACTTATTAGCAAATAGTCCAAATGTATATTGTCTATAAAGAATTTCCAAACTAAGTAGCTATTTTACAAACCAATTCTAGAATTCTAGACTGGTAAAACCCCAATGACACATAGCAAAAAAAAAAAAAAAAAAAAAAGAACTAAATAAATATAGAATAACAGAAAAATAGTTTTTTAAAATACTTACAAAATGTAAGAGAATAGAAAAATATATTTCTAACTATTCTCTTAAATCTCTTTAAATCTAGGGTTATTTGTGTATGAAAATGTTATCAAAAATAAAAACATAAAGTAGTTTACTATAAAGTATTAATTCCACACCCACACAAAATACAGACAAAAGAAAATACTTCCAATATACTTCAAGACAGTACAAAACATAAGACTTAAAAATTTACATTCATTTTATAAATTTAATTTAAAATGGGTAAAAAGAATTACTTTGATATGAACGAGTAAACCAATGAAATAAAAATAACAAAATAGTTAAAAATAAAAATCAGTGGGTAGTCAAAGAGGTAATTAAGTCTATATGATTGGAATTGTGGTTGAAAATATATTTGAGAAGACTACAGAATACAACACAGAGACAAAAATAGATTTTATAAAAAGAAGACAAATAGAAATTATGATAAAATCAGAAGTGTGTGTGTGGGTATGTCTCTGTGTATGTGTGTGTGTGTGCATGTGTGTGTGGAGATGAAATGTGGGGTTGGAGCCCCCCTACAGAGTCTTCACTGGGGCACTGCCTACTGGGAGCCATGAGAAGGGGGCCATTATCTTCCAGATTGCAGAATGGCAGAGCCACGGACAGCTTGCACCCTGTGACTGGAAAAGCCATAGGCACTCAATGCAGACCCATGGGAGCAGCCATGGGGTCTGGCCCCTCCAAAGCCACAAGGGTACAGCTGCCTAAGGTTTTTGGAGCCCGCCCCTCAAACCAGAGTGCCCTGGATGTGGGAAATGGGGTCAAAGATTAATTTGTAGCTTCAATGTTTAATGGCTGCCCTGCTTGGTTTCAGACTTGCACGGTTCCTGTAGCCTCTTTCTTTGGCCAATTTCTCCCTTTTGGAATGGGAGTATTTACCCAATGCCTATATCTTCATTGTATCTTGGAAGTAACTAACTTGTTTTCTGTGTTATAGACTCATAGGTGGAAGGTACTTGCCTTGTCTCATATGAGAATAAAAAATAAAATACAAATAAAATAATATATAAATAAATTAAATCTGAGATTTTTATATATAAACATGAATGTTGACTTTCATATGTGTGTTTGCAGCAACAAGGAAAAGTACATGAGTAAATAATGCCTGTGAAGTTAAAACTGCCCACTGTTATTGACGCCTACTCAAAACAATTTTAACTTTATTTTCTATTTTGTATTAGATAATTTAAAAAATTACAGAAATACTTGGAGAGAAGAGGTTAAAAAGGCATGCATAAAATTACTAAAATACAAGAGGCCAAAAATGTGAAGAAATGCTTAACATCACTAATCTTTAGAGAAATGCAAATTAAAACTGAGATAGCATCTCATATCAGTCAGAATGCCTATTATTAAAAAGTCCCAAAACAACAGATGTTGATGTGGATGCAGAGAAAAGGGAACGCTTATGCACTCTTGGTGGGAATGTAAATTAGCTCAACCTCTACGGAAAATAGTATGAGGATATGTCAGAGAAATGAAAACAGAGCCACCATTCAATCCAGAAATCTTATCACTGGGTATGTATCCGAAAGAAAATAAATAATTATGTAAACAAACATCTGCACTTGTATGTTCATCACAGCAATATACAGAATAGCAAAATCATGGAACCAATCTATGTGTCCATCTATGATTGACTGGTTAAAGGAATGTGGTATATATATATCATGGAATACTATGCAGGAATAAAAAGAATAAAACCATGCCATTTTCACCAATATGGATATAACTTAATGCCATTATCTTAAGTGATCTAACTCAGAAACAGAAATCAAATCTCATATGTTGTCACTTTCATGAGGGAGCTAATCAATGTATACCAATGGGTATACATAAACATGAAGATATAAATGATAGACACTGGACACTCCTAAGGGGGAAAGGTAGGAGGGAGGTGAGGGTTGAATAAATACCTATTGGGTACAGTGTTCAATATTTGCTTGATGGATACACCAGCAGCCCAATCTCCACCATTATGCAATATACTCATATAACAAACATGCACATGCACCCCCTAAATCTAAAATTTTTCAAAAGTTAAACAATCTTCTAGAATGATTTAATTTTGACATTTTGGAAACAACGAAAATCAATATAAAATAGTGTACTCCAACCCAAAGGTTTTTTTTTTTTTTTTCTTTTCTTTGAGATGGGGTCTCACCCTCTCTGTCCCCCAGGCTGGAGTGCAGTGGCTCAATCTCGACTCACCTCAACCTCCACCTCTCAGGTTCAAGTGATTCCCCAGCCTCAGCCTCCCCAGTAGCTGGGATTACAGGCACACGCCACCAGGCCCAGCTAATTTTTGTATTTTTAGTAGAGACCAGGTTTTGCCACGTTGGCCAGGCTGGTCTCAAACTCCTGACCTCAGGTGATCCACCCACTTAGGCCTCCCAAAGTGCTGGGATTACAGCCATGAGCCACCCGCCCTGCCCCAATCCAAAGTTTTAACAATTTGTAGAATTGAAAGAGAATACCAAGCATAGAACTCTATTTTCAGAAAAGTAGCGTAAGTTGCACACATAAATATAAATGGTGCATTAAGATCACTTTTTGGAATTCTACTTGCTGATGTTAACAATGTAAGTTTTAAAAGTTTAAAATGTGCTTGTGTGTGTGCTAGAAGAAATGACGCTACTTTGAAACCTGCTTTCCTAACTAGTGGCTATAAATTAGGAACATAAAAATTGTGATAATTTTACTATTTCTTTCCAATTTGGATGCTTTTATTTCTTTTCTTGTGTGGTAGATAATATAATTTGATATAATTCTATATGTAAAAACCACAAAGAGTTCACAAAACACTATAAGAACTAATAAAATTTGTAAAGTTGTAGAATAAAAAATCAACTTAAAAATTATTAGCATTTTATACATAAATAATTACCTAACTGAAAAAGATATAAATTATTCTTAAGTTTCTCCACAAGATAAAAAAAATTTCATTTATGACAGCATCAAAACAAAAAAGAACCTGGGAATAAATGTAGCCAAAGAGATGAAAAAATCTTGGTATGGTTTGGCTCTGTGCCCCCACACAAATCTCATTTTGAATTGTAATCCCCTCCATCCCCCTTTTCAAGGGAGGGACCTGTGGGAGGTGATTGGATCAGGGGGGTGGTTTCTCCCATGCTATTCTTGTGATATTGAGGGAGTTGTCATGAGAGCTGATGGTTTTTTTTCTTTTTTGAGACGGAGTTTCGCTCTGTCGCCCAGGCTGGAGTGCAGTGGCGCGATCTCGACTCACTGCAAGCTCCGCCTCCCGGGTTCACGCCATTCTCCTGCCTCAGCCTCCCGTGTAGCTGGGACTACAGGCGCGCACCACCATGCCCGGCTAATTTTTGTATTTTTAGTAGAGACGGGGTTTCACCGTGTTAGCCAGGATGGTCTCGATCTCCTGACCTCGTGATCCGCCCGTCTCGGCCTCCCAAAGTGCTGGGATTACAGGCGTGAGCCACCGCGCCCGGCCGAGCTGATGGTTTTATGTCTGGCATTTCCTCACTCTTTCTCTCTCTCTTGCTGCCTTGAGAAGAAGGTGCTTGCTTCCCCTTTGCCTTCTGCCATACTCCTAAGTTTCCTGAGGCCTCCCCAGCAATGCAGAACTGTGAGTCAATAAAACATCTTTTGTTTGTAAATTACCCAGTCTAAGGTGAGTATCTTTACAGCAGTGTGAAAACGGACTAATACAAATCTACATATTTAAAACAGTAATAAAAATTGGAAAATTATACAAACAAATGGAAAGATATCTATTTCTTATGAATTGGAAGAATTAATATTTTGTAAATGTCCGCATTTTCCAAAGCAACATTCAGGTTTAACACAATCTTTTTCAAAATCCCAATGACATTCTTTATTTTTTTTGAGACAGAGTCTCACTCTATCGCCCAGGCTGGAGTGCAGTGGTGCAGTCTCGGCTCATCGCAACCTCTGCCTCCCTGGATCAAGCAATTCTCTTGCCTCAGCCTCCCGGGTAGCTGGGACTACAGGTGCATGCCACCACACCTGAATAATTTTTTGTATTTTAGTAGAGACAGGTTTTACCATGTTGCCCAGGCTGGTTGTGAACTCCTGAGCTCAGGCAATCCACCCACCTCAGCCTCCCAAAGTGCTGGGATTACAGGCATGAGCCACTGCACCCAGCCCCAAATGACATTATTTATATAAACAGAAAAATAATTATAAAATCCATGTGGAGCTGAAAAAAACAAACACTTGAAAAGCCAATACTATTCTGAGAAAGAAAAACAAAATTGGAGGCATCACACATACTTAAAATTCTGTTGAAAAGCTCTAGTAATGTAGACAGTATGATACTGGCATAAGAAAACAGATGTATACACCAGTGAAACAAAACAGAGGGCATAAAAATAAATCTATTCACTTTCAGCAATTAATTTTTGATAAAAGGGCCCAAAACACATAATGGAGAAAGGACAAAATGAATTGTATTGGGGAAACTGGATATCCACATGCAAAATAAAGAAATTAGACCTTTATCTCACAAAATATGCAAATAGCAACTTAAAGTACATGCAAAACTTGAACATAAGACCTGAAACTGTGAAAGTACTGAAAGAAAACACGGAAAAAAAGCTTCATAACATTGGTCTGGATAATGACTTTTTTTTTTCAGATATGACCCCAAAAGCACAAGCAACAAAAGTAAAAGTAGACAAATGAGATTACACAAAAGTTAAAGATTCTTCAGGCACACACACACAAAAAAATCAGCAAAATGAAATGACAGCCTATGGATTGGGAAACGAAAATTCAAACTTTAAATCTGATGAGGTGTTAATATTCAAAATTTATAAAGAACTCATACGACTCAATAGTGGAAAACAAATAACCCAATTAAAAAATGGGCAAAAGACCTGAATACACATTTCTGTAAAGAAGACATAAAAATGGCCAAGACATATGAAAAGGTGCTCGACATCATTTATTATCAAAGGAATGCAAAACAAAATTACTGTGACATACTGTCTCACAACCCTTAGAGCGGCTGTTATGCTAACTGAAGAAGATTGAAAAATGTGGCGGGGATGTGGAGAAAAGAGAACGCATAGCAACTGTTGACAGAAATGTAGGTTGTTACAGCCATTATGAAAAACAGTATGGAGGTTTCTAAAGAAATTAAGAATAGAATTATCAAATAACCCAGCAAACCTTCTTCTGGGCATACACCCAAAGAAAGGAAATCTCCACCTCGTAAAGATAATCACATTGCCATGTTAATTGCAGCATTATTTACAATAGCCAAAATATAAAACCAACCTGTCTCTTAATAGATTGATTTTTTTAAAAACTGTGATACACATATATATAGTTGAATATTATTTACATTAAAAAAGAATAGGAACTTGCCATTTTCTGCAACGTAGATGAGCCTGAAGGATGTTATACTAAGTAAAATATAAGCTAGAGACAGAAAGAAAAGTATTGCATTATTTCACCTATATGTGAAATCTGAAAAAATATATATAAAATATGAACAGATAGGAAACAAAATCTTGTTTACAAGGTGTTGGGGATAGGGGACAGAAAATGAGGAGAAATAGGTCAGAGTGTATAAACTAGCAGATAAGTGGGATGAACAAATCTAGAAATCTGTTGTACAACCTGAGAACTATAAGTAATAAAATTGTACTGTATTTTGGATTCATGCTAAATGAGTAGATTTTATTTGGTTTTGCCAAAACAGCAAAACAAAACAAAATGTATAACTATGTGAGATGATGGATCATTGATTTGCTTTGCTATAGTAATCTTTTGTGCTATCTATATCTATCTCATAGCATTATGTTCTGTATCTTAAATATATACAATAAAATGTATTTTTAGAAAAAGAGAATCAGCAATAATCACATTTGTGCTTTTAGCTCCTGAAAATTAAACTTATAATGGTATCTTATTTAAATAAAATTTATAGATTTTTAATGCAGCTAAGCCTCTGTCTTAGGTGATTTATTTTTAAAACATGAGTAGAATAACCATCTCTAGCCATTATGAATCATAATTGGGTATCTGTGTGTATAATCCAATGTCATAGTTTCTTTCACTTTCTTTTTGTCCGTAATAAACATAGTTGTTTTTCACTTGCTCTTTCTGAAGTTTCTCAGATGCATTACTTGGATTCCTAAGGAATATGTATAAGTATATATATATATATATATTTTTTTTTTTTTTTGAGACAGCGTCTCCTGGGCTGGAGTGCAGTGGCACTATCTGAGCTCAATGCAACCTTGGACTCCTGGGTTCAAGCGATTCTTCTGTCTCAGCCTCTTGAGTAGCTGGGATTACAGGCATGAGCCACTGCACCCGGCCAAAGCCCCACATTTCAAATACATTTTTTACTTAGGGTGAAAATTACTGAACCTCATAATTATGTTTAAAGTTTAAAACTAGATTTATCTTAGATCACATTAATACATTTAAAGATCTCTTTGATATTCTTCAAGCCCATGAACTGAATGATTTCATCTTAACTATGCTAAATCACTGTTAATTTCATTGCAGTGATTAATAAACCGTGTCACTATGCATTTAAAAACCTGCTATTTTCAGAGTTGCATTTATTGCTTGCCTTTTTTCAAAGTGCCATTTCATCAGAGCAGTTTAACAAAAGTTAAATTTCAAAGACAGATAATAGATAATTACAAACATTTAAATGATGGATGGTAATTTGATCTTAATAAAATATCAGGTAAACTAAGGTCATGTAAACAGAAGGCAGGCATTCTAAACAAATCTTATTGCTATATAATAAATATATCTCACCTCTTACATTCTACCCACACACTTGTTTATTCGAATTAAATAAAGTTTTTAAATAATGGTTAGATATAACAAAATTGTTCTCATTACTCATCAACACATTTGAAGCAAGCCATTGAAAAAAACCTGTGTTTTGATTCACCAGGTTGGAAACACTGTTTTTGTAGAATGTACGAAGAGACACTCTTGAGTCCATTGATGCACATAAGATAAAATTGAATATCCCATGATAAAAACTAGAAACAAGTTATCTGCGAAAATACTTCATGATGTGTGGATTCATCTCAGAGAATAAAACCTGCATTTTGATTCACGAGGTTGGACACTTCTGGTGAAGAATCTACGAAGGGACATTTCTGAGCTCATTGAGGCCTACAGTGAAAAAACTAATATCCCACGTTAAAAACTAGAAACAAGGTATGTGTGAAAATGCTTTGAGATGTGTGGATTAATCGAATGGAACAGAATCTGTGTTTTAATTCACCAGGTTGGAAACACTCTTTTTGTAGAATCTATGAAGGGATATTTTGGAGCCCATTGAAGCCTATGGTAAAAAACCAAGTATCCTGGGATAAAAACTAGAAACAAACTATCTAGGAAAACGCTTTGTGATATATGGATTGATCTCAAAGAATGGAACCTGTGTTTGGATTTACTAGTTGGAAACATTCATTTTGTAGAATATACAAAGGGATATTTCTAAGCCCATTGAGACGTGTAAGATGAAATTGAATATCCTGCAATAAAAACTAGAAACAAGGTATCTGTGAAAATGCTGTGTGATGTGTGGATTCATCTCACAGAATGGAACATGTGGTTAGGGTGGAAATCCCCCTTTTTTTAAATCTATGATGGAACATTTTTGAGCCCATAGATGCTTATCATTAAAAACTAGAAACAAGGTATCTGTTAAAATGTTCTCTGATGTGTGGATTCATCTCACAGAATGGAACCTGTGATTTGATTCTCCATGCTGGAAAAACTTTTTGTAGAATCTATGAAGGGACATTTCTGAGCCTGTTGAGGCCTAATGTGAAAAACCTAGTATGTCGTGATAAAAACTAGAAACAAGCTATCTGTGAAAATGCTTTGTGATGTGTGGATTCCTCTCACAGAGTTAAACCTGTGTTTTGATTCACCAGGTTGGAAACACTTTTGTTGTAGAATCTACAAAAGGGACATTTCTGAGCCCATTGAGGGCTACAGTGAAAAACAGAATATCCCGCGTTAAAAACTGGAAACAAGCTATGTTTGAAAAAGTTTTGTGATGAGTGGATTCATCTCACAGAATGGAACCTGAGTTTTGATTCACCAGGTTGTAAACACTCTTTTTGTAGAACCTACAAGGGATATTTCTGAGCCCAATGAGGCCAAATTGAAAACCCGAATATGCTGCGATTAAAATTAGGAACAAGCTCTCTGTGAAAATGCTTTGAGTGTAGATTCATCCACAGAATGAAAACTGTGCTTTAATTCACTAGGGAGGAAATGTTTTTGTAGAATCTATGAAAAGACATTTGTGCACCCACTGAGGCCTACAGTGAAATCCCAAATATTCCACAATCAAAACTAGAAACAAGCTCTCTGTGAAAACTTTTTATGATGTGAATATTCATCTCACAGAAAGGAACCTGTGTTTTGATTTACCAGGTTGTTAACAGTAATTTTGTAGAATCTATGAAAAGACATTTCTGAGCCCACTGAGGCTTATATTGAAAAACAGAATATCCCATGATTAAAACTAGAAACAAGGTATCTGTGAAAATGCTTTCTGATGTCTGAATTCATTGCACAGAACATACCTATGTACCGATTCACAACATTAAAAACTCTTTTTGTAGTATCTATGAAGGGACATTTCTGAGCCCATTGAAGCCTATAGTAAAAAACCAAATATCCTGCGATAAATATTATAACAAACTACCTGTTAACATGCTTTGTGATGTGTAAATTCATATCACAGAATGAAACCTGCTTTTTTTTTTTTTTTTTTTTTTTTGAGATGGAGTCTCACTCTGTTGCCCAGGCTGGAGTGCAGTGGCATGATCTCGGCTCATGGCAAGCTCGCCTCCAGGGTTCATCCCATTCTCCTGCTTCAGCCTCCTGAGTAGCTGGGTCTACAGGCACCCACCACCATGCCTGGCTAATTTTTTGTATTTTTAGTAGAGACGGGGTTTCACCATGTTAGTCAGGATGGTCTCGATCTCCTGACCTCGTGATCCACCCGCCTTGGCCTCCCAAAGTGCTGGGATTACAGGCGTGAGCCACCGCGCCTGGCTGAAACCTGCATTTTGATTCACCAGGTGGAAACACTCTTTCTGTAAAATCAATGACCTGACCTTTCTGCACCCTTTGATGCCTATAAGGAAATATCATATATCTTGTGATATAAACTACAAACAATGTGTCTGTGAAAATGCTGTGTGATGTGTGGATTCATCTCACAGAATGGAACCTGTGTTTTGATACACCAGGTTGGAAACACTCTTTCTGTAGAATCAACGAAGGGACATTTCTGAGCCCATTGATCCCCATACTGAAAAAGTGAATATTTTGCAATAAAAACTAGAAACAAGCTACCTGTAAAAATACTGTGTAATGTGTGTACTCGTCTCACAGAATGGAACCTGGATCATTCACTAGGTTGGAAACACTCTTTTTGTAGAATCTACAAAGGGATATTTCCGAGCCCTTTGAAGCCCATAGTGAAAAACTGAATATCCCTGGATAAAAAATATAAACAAGTGATCTGTGTAACTGCTTTGTAATGTGTGGATTTTTCTCACAGAATTGAACCTGTGTTTTGATTCACCAGGTTGTAAACCCTATTTAGAACTTACTAAGAGACATTTCTGATCCAATTGAAGCCAAGAGTGAAAAACCGATTATCCTTCGACAAAAACTATAAACAAGAAATCTGTGTAAGTGCTTTGTGATGTGTGAATTCATCTCACAGAATGGAACCTGTATTTGATTCAAAAGGATGGGAACTCTCTTTTTGTACAATCTACTAAAGGACATTTCTGAGCAAATTGAAGCCCATATTTAAAAATCAAATAACCCACCACAAAAACTAGAAACAGGCTATCAGTGAAAATGCTTTGTTATGTGTGGATTCCTCTCACAGAATGGAACCTGTGTATTGTTTCACCCCGTTGGAAACACTCTTTTTGTAGAATATATGAAGGGACATTTCTGAGCCCACTGAAGCCTATAGTGAAAAACCAAATATCCCATGATAAAAAGTGGAAACAAGTTGTCTGTGAAAATGCTTTATAATGTGTGGATTCATCTCACAGAATGGAATCTGTGCTTTGATTTGCCAGGTTGGAAACGCTCTTTTTGTAGAATCTATGAAGGGATATTTTTGAGCCCAGCCAAATATCCCATGATAAAAAGTGGAAACAAGCTATCTGTGAACATGTTTTGTGATGTTTGGATTTATCTCAGAGAGTAAAATCTGTGTCTTGATTCATCAGGTTGGAAACACTCTTTTTAAAAATCTACAAAGGGACATTTCTGAGCCTATTGTAGTGTATAGTGAAAAATCAAATATCACAACATAAAAATCTATAAACAAGCTCTCTGTGAGAATGCCTTTTGATGTGTGGATTCATATCACAGAATGGAACCATTGTTTTTATTCACCAGGCTAGACACATTCCTGTAGTAGGTTCTAGGAAGGGACATTACTGAGCCCATTGAAGCCTATTGTGAAAAACCAAATATTCCGTGATAAAAATTAGAAACAGACTATCTGTGAAAATGCTTTGTGATGTGTAAATTTATCTCACAAAATAGAACCTGTGTTTGGATTCACTAGGTTAGAAACCCTCTTTTTGTAGAATCTACAAAGGAACATGTCTGAGCCCAATTAGACCTTTACTGAAAGCCAGAATGTCCCACAATTAAAACTACAAACAAGCTATCTGTAAAATGCTTTGTGATGTGTGGATTCACCTCACAGAATGGAACCTGTGATTTGATTCCCTAGGTTGGAAACATTCTTTTTGTAGAATCTATGAGGAGAATTTTTGAGCCCAGTGATGTCTTTACTGAAAACCCGTATATCCAATGATGAGAACTAGAAATAAGCTATCTGTGAAAATGCTTTGTGATGTGTGGATTTATCTCACAGAATGGAACTTGTGTTTTGATTCACCGGGTAGGAAACACTCTGTTTGTAGAATCTATGAAGGGGCATTTCTGAGCTTTTTGAGGCCTATAGTGAAAAACTGAATATCCCCGATTAAAACTAGAAACAAGCTATCTGTAAAATGCTTTGAGATGTGTGGATTCATCTCACAGAATGGAACTTGTGTTTTAATTCACCAGGTTGGAAACATTCTTTTTGCAGAATCTACAAAGGGACATATCTGAGTCCTTTTAGGCCAATAGTGAAAAACGGAATATAACCGATAAAAGCTAGAAACAATATACCTGTGAAAATGCTTTGTGATGTGTGGATTTATCTCACAGAATGCAAACTGTGTTTTAATTTACCAGGATGCACACACTGTTTTGTATAATCTACAAAGGACATTTCTGAGCCGAATGTGGCCTATAGTGACAATCCGAATATACCACAATTAAAACCAGAAACAGGCTATCTTTGTAAATGCTTTGTGATATTTGGATTCATTTCACAGACTTAAACCTGTGTTTTGATTCACCATGTTAGAAAGACTTTTTTTGTAGAATCTATGAAGGGACATTTCTGAGCCCTATGAAGATTATAGTAAAAACCAAATATCACACGATAATAACTAGAAACAAACTATTTATGATAATGCTTGTGATGTGTGGATTCATCTCACAGAATGGAACCTGTGTTTTCATTCACCAAGTTGCAAACCCTCTTTTTGTAGAATCTTAATCCAGTGAGGCCTATTCTGAAAGTAGGAATATCCTGAGATAAAAATTAGAGAGTATCTATCTGTAAAAATGCTTTGCGATATGTGAATTGCTTTCACTGAGTTAAATTTGTGTTTTGATTCACTACGTTGGAAACACTTCTGTTGTAGAATCAATAAATGGAAATTTCTGAGCCTACAGAGGTCTACAATGAAAAACAGAATATCCCGTGATAACAACTAGAAATAACTATGTATGAAAAAGCTTTGTGATGAGTGGATTCATCTCACAGAAGGAAACCTGTGTTTTGATTCATTAGGTTGGAAACAGTCTTTTGGTAAAATCTACTAAGGGATATTTCTAAGCCCACTGATGTGCATAAGATGAAATTGAATATCCCACAAAAAACAAAAAACAAAAAAAACTAGAAACAAGGTATCTACGAAAATGCTTTGGGATGTGTGGATTCTTTTAACAGAATGAAACGTGTGTTTTGATTCTCCATGCTGAACACACGCTTTTTGTAGAATCAATGAAAAGACATTTCTGAGTCCATTGCAGTTTATAGTGGAAAACTGAGTATTCCATCAAAAAACTAGAAACAGGCCATCTGTGAAAATGCTTTGTGATATGTGGATGCATTTCACAGGATGGACCCTTTGTTCTGATTCACCAGAGCGGACACACAGTTTTTGTAGAATCTACAATGGGACATTTCTTAGTACCTTGAGGCCCATTGTAAGAAACTGAATATCCAGCGATAAAAACTAGAAACAAGTTATCTGTGAAAATGGTTCATCATATGAGGATTTATCTCACACAATGGAACCAGTGTTTTGATGCATCACGTTGGAAACACTCTTTTTGTAGAATCTATGAGGGTACATCTCTGAGCCCATTGAAGCCTATAGTGAAAAATGGAATATCTCACGATAAAAATTAGAAAGAAGCTACCTGTGAAAATGCTTGTTATGTGTGGATTCATCTCACAGAATGGAACCTGTGTTTTGATTCTCCAGTTTGGAAACACACTTTTGTAGAATCTACGAAAAGATTTCTGAGGACACTGAGGTATATAGTGAAAAACCCAGTATCCCTGGATAAAAACTAGAAACACGCTATGTTTGAAAAAGATTTGTGATGAGTAGATTCATCTCACAGAATGGAACCTGTGTTTTGATTTATCAGGATAAAAATATTCTTTTTGTAGTATCTACAAAAATACATTTCTGAGCAAATTGTAACTCATATTTAAAAACCAAATATCCCCTTATAAAAACTAGAAATGAGATCTGTGAAACCGCTTTGTACCGTGTGGGTTCATCTCACAGAATGGAAACTGTGTTTTGATTAACCAGGTTGGAAACACTCTTTTTGTAGAATATACGAAGGGACATTTCTGAGCCCTTTGAAAGCTGTAGTGAAAAACCCAACATCATGCGATAAACTAGAACCAAGCTGTCTGTGAAAATGCTTTGTAATGTGTGGATTTATCTCACAGAATAGAACCTGTGTTTTCATTCACCAGGTTAGAAACCCTCCTTTTGAAGATTGTATGAAGAGAAATTTCTGAGCCCATTGAAGCCTGTATTGAAAAACAGAATATCAAGTGATAAAAACTAGAAACATGCTACTTGAGAAAAGGCCTTTTGATGTGTGGATTCATCTCATAGAATGGAACTTGTGTTTGATTCTCTAGGTTGGAAACACTCTTTTTTAGTACCTGCAAAGGGACATTTCTGAGCCCATTAAGGTCTACAGTGAAAAACCGAATGCCATGCAATAAAAACTTGAAAGAAGCTATTTGTGGGAATGCTTTGTGATGTGTGTGTTCATCTCATGGAATAAAATCTGTGTTTATCTACATTAGATATTTCTCCTAATGCTATCCCTCCCTTAGACCGCCACCCTCTGACAGGCCCTGGTGTGTGATGTTCCCCTACCTGTGTCCATGTGTTCTCATTGTTCAACTCCCACTTATGAGTAAGAACATGTGGTGTTTGATTTTCTCTTCCTATGTTAGTTTGTTCAGAATGATGGTTTCCAGCTTCATCCGTGTCCCTGCAAAGGACATGAACTCATCCTTTTTTATGGCTGCATAGTATTCTGTGTTGTATACATGCCACATTTTCTTTATCCAGTGTATCATTGATGGACATTTGGGTTGGTTCCAAGTCTTTGCTATTGTGAATAGTACTGCAATAAATATATGTGTGCATGTGTCTTTATAGTAGAATGATTTGTAATCCTTTGGGTATATACCCAGTAATGGGATTGCTGGGTCAAATGGTATTTCTTGTTCTAGATCCTTGAGGAATTGCCACACTGTCTTCCACAATGGTTGAACTAATTTACACTCCCACCAACAGTGTAAAAGTGCTCCTATTTCTCCACATCCTCTCCAGTATCTGTTGTTTCCTGACATTTTAATGATCGCCTTTCTAACTGGCATAAGATGGTATCTCATTTGGGTTTTGATTTGCATTTCTCTAGTGACGAGTGATGATGAGCTTTTTTTTCATATGTTTGTTGGCCACATAGATGTCTTCTTTTGAGAAGTGTCTGTTCATATCCTTCACCTACTTTTTGATGGGGTTGTTTGTTTTTTTTCTTGTAAATTTGTTTAAGTTCTTTGTAGATCTGGATATTAGCCCTTTGTCAGATGGATAGATTGCAAACATTTTCTTCCATTCTCTAGGTTGCCTGTTCACTCTGATGATAGATTCTTTTGCTGGGCAGAAGCTCTTTAGTTTAATTAGGTCCCAGTTGTCAATTTTCGCTTTTGTTGCTTTTGGTTTTTTAGTCATGAAATCTTTGCCCATGCCTATGTCCTAAATGGTGTTGCCTAGGTTTTCTTATACGGTTTTTATGGTTTTAGGTCTTATGTTTAAGTCTTTAATCCATCTTGCGTTCATTTTTGTATCAGGTGTAAGGAAGGGGTCCAGTTTCAGTTTTCTGCATATGGCTAGCCAGTTTTCCCAGCACCAAGTACTAAATAGGGAATCCTTTCCCTAATGCTTATTTTTATCAGATTTCTGAAAGATCCAATGGTTGTGGATGTGTGGTGTTCTTTTTGAGGCCTCTGTTCTATTCCATTGGTCTATATATCTGTTTTGGTACTAGTACCATCCTGTTTTGGTTACTGTAGCCTTGTAGAATAGTTTGAAGTCAGGTAGCATGATGCCTCCAGCTTTATACTTTTGCTAAGGATTGCCTTGGCTATACAGGCTCTTTTTTGGTTCCATATGAAATTTAAAGTAGTTTTTTTCTAATTCTGTGAAGAACATCAATGGGAACCTGTATTTTGATTCACCAGCTTTGAAACACTCTTTCTGTAGAATCTATGAGGTGACTTTCTGAGCCCATTAAAGCCTATTGTGAGAACAAGAATGTCCCACAATTAATACTAGAAACACAATATTTATGTAAAAGATTTGTAATGTTTGGATTATTCTTCCAGAGTTAAACCTGTGTTTTGGTTTACCAGTTTAGAAAGACTCTTTTCGTATAATCCACAAAGAAACATTTCTGAGTACTTGAAGCCCATAGTGAAAAACCGAATATTGCGCAATAACAACTAGAAACAATTGTGAAATCTGTGAAAATGCTTTTTGATGTGTTGATTCATATCACAGAATGGAACCTGTGTTTTGATTCACCAGATTGGAAACACTTTTTTGTAGAATCTCCGTAGGGTCACTTTTCAGCCCAATGAGGTCTTTATGGAAAACCTGAATATCCAACGATTAAAACTAGAAACAAGATATCTGTGAAAATGCTTTGTGATAAGTGTATTCATCTCACAGAATGGAACAGGAGTTTTGATTGGTCAGGTTGGAAACACTCGTTTTGTAGAATCTACAAAAGGACATTTCTGAGCCCAGTAAAGCCTGTCCTGAAAAACCGAATATCCCACAATAAAAATTAGAAACAAACTGTCTGTGAAAATGCTTTGTGATCTGTGGATTCATCTCACAGAATGGAACCAGTGTTTTAATTCAACAGTTTGGAACCACTACTTTGTAGAATCTACAACGTGACATTTCTGAACTTATTTAAGCCTAGAGTGAAAACCTGAATATCCCATATTAAAAAATAGATACAAGCTATTTTTGAAGATTACTTGTGTTGTACTGATTTTTCTCAAAGAATGGAAACTGTGTTTTGATTCACCAGGTTGAAAACACTCTTTTGGTAGAATGTACAAAGGGACATTTCTGACCCCTGTAATACCTGTATTAAAAAACCGAATATCCTGAGATAAAAACTAGAAACAAGCTATCTGTTAAAATGCTTTTTGATGTGTGGATCCATCTCAGAGAGTTATACTTGTGTTTTGCTACACCAGGCTTGAAACACTCTTTTTTGCAGTATCTATGAGAGGATATTTCTGAGCCCATTAAAGCCTATTGTGAAAAACCGAATATCCCGTGATGAAAAGTAGAAACAAGCTATCTGTGAAAGTGTTTTGTGATGGGTGGATTCATCTCGCAGAATTGAACCTGTATTTTGATTCACCATGTTGGAAAAACTCTTTTTGTGGAATCTACAAAGGAATATTTCCAAGGTTTTTGTGGCTAATAGTGAAAAACCGAATATCCTGTGATAAATACCAGAAACAAGCTATTTGTGAAAATGCTTAGAGAAATGTAGATTCATCTCACCAAATGGAATTTGTGCATTGATTCACCAAGTTGGAAAGTCTCTTTTTGTAGAATCTGTGAAGGGACATTTCTGAGCCCAATGAGGCTTATACTAAAAACCCAAATACTTTACCATTAAAACTAATAATAAGCTATCTGTGAAAACGCTTTGTGATGTGTGGATTCTTCTCACAGAATACAACCTGTGTGTTATTGACCAGGTTGGAAATACTCTTTTTGTAGAACCTATGAACGAGCGTTTCTGTTTCCATTGACACCTATAAGGAAGAACTGAATATCCTGCTATTAAAACTAGAAAAAAACTACCTTTGAAAATGCTTTGTGATGTAGACTCATTTCACAGACTTAAATTTGTGTTTTCATTCAGCAGGTTGAAAACACTCTGTAGAATCAATGAAGAGAAATTTCTGACCCCATTGAGGCCTATAGTGGAAAACAGAATACCCCCAATGAAAACTAGAAACAAGCTACTGTGAAAATGCTTTGTGATGTGTGGATTCATCTCTCAGAATGTAACCCATGTTTTTTTTCACCAGGGTGGAAACAATTTTTTTGTAGAATCTACAAATGCACATTTCTGAGCCAATTGAGACCTATAGTGAAAAACCGAATATCCCGCAATAAATACTAGAAACGAGCTATCTATGAAATGTGTCATGATACGTGGATTCATCTCAAAGAATGGAACTTGTTTTGTGATTCACCAAATTGGAACCACTCTTTCTGTAGAATCTACAAGAAACATTTCTGAGTTCATTGAAGCCTATAGTGAAAAACAGAATATCTCAAGATAAAATGTAAAAACAAGCTATTACAATTATTCATAATGTGTGGATTTATCTTACAGAATGGAACCTGTGTTTCAATTTATCAGGTTGGAAACACTCTTTTTGTAGAATCCAAGAAGGGACATTTCCGAGCCCTTTGAAGTATATAGTGGAAAACAGAATACCCCACGATAAAACTAGAAACAAGCTGTCTGTGAAAATGATTTGTGATATATGGATTCATCACACAGAGTTAAACCTGTGTTTTGATTTATCCGGTTGGAAATACTCTTATTGTAGAATCTAAGAGGGAAAATTTTTAGCCTATTTAAGTTTACATTGCAAATGTCCCACAATAAAAACAAGAAAAAAAGCTATCTGTGAAAATGCTTCGTGGTGTGTGAATTCTTCTAACTGGAACCTGTGTTTTTATTGACCAGTTTGGAACACTCTTTTTGTGGTATATATGCAGAGTCATTGTTGTAGTTATTGAAGCCTGTAAAGTAAAACAAAAATATCCTGCCATAAAAACTATAAAAAAAGCTATCTGTCAAAATGCTTTCTGATATGAGATTCATCTCACAGAATAGAACCTGTGTTTTCATTCACCAAGTTAGAAACACTGTATGTGTAGTATACATGAAAGGACATTTCTGAACCCATTGAGGCCTATACTGCAAAACCGAATATCCCGTGATAAAAAATGGAAACAAACTATCTGTGAAAATGCTGTGTGATGTATGGATTCACCTCACAGAGTTAAACCTGTGTTTCATTTACCAGCTTGAAAGGGCTTATTTTGTAGCATGTATGAAGGGACATTTCTGAGCCCATTGAAGCCTACAGTGAAAAACCGAATATCCTGCAATGAAATGTAGAAACAAGCTATCAATGAAAATGCTCTGTGCTTTGTGGATTCATCTCACAGACTGGAAACTGTTTTGATTCACCAGGTTGGAAACACTCTTTTGGTCAAACTACGAAGGGATAATTCTGAGCTTATTGAGGCCAATAATGAAAAACTGTATATCACGTGCAAAGAACTAGAAACAAGCTATTTGTGAAAATGCTTTGTAATATGTGAATCCATTTCACAGAATTAAACTTGTGTTTTGATTCACCAGGTTGGAAACAATGATGTGTGGATTCTTCCTACAGAATGGATCCTATGTTTTGAATCACCAGGTTGGAAACAGTTTTTTTTTGTAGTATATACAAAAAGACATTTCTGTTCCATTGAAACCTATAGTGAAAAAACCAATATCCCACGATAAAAACTAGAAACAAGCTATCTGTCAAAATGTTTTGTAATGTGTGGGTTCATCTCACAGAATGGAGCCTGTGCCTTGATTCACGAGGTTGGAAACACTCTTTAGGTAGTGTATACGAAAAGTACGAAAAGACATTTCTGAGCCCGTGGAAGCCTACAGTGAGAAACCAAACATCCAGCGATAAAAACTAGAAACAAGCCATGTTTGAAAATACTTTGTGATGTATGGATTCATCTTACAGAGCTAAACTTGTGTTTTGTTTTACCAAGTTAGAAAAACTCTTTTTGTAGAATTTTCCAAAAAATTTCTGAGGTCATTGAAGTCTATAGTGATAAACTGAATATCTAGTGATAAAAAGTAGTAACAAGCTGTCTGTGAAAATACTTTGTGTGGTGTTAATTCATCTCACAGAATGAAAACTGTGTTTCAATTCACTAGTTTGGAAACAATCTTTTTGTAGTATCTCCAGAGTAACATTTCTGAGCCCATTGTGGCCTGTAGTGGAAAACTGAATATCCCACGATAAAAACAAACAAAAAAGGGGATCTGTGAAAATGTTTTGTGATGTGTGGATTCATCTCACAGAATGGAAACCGTGTTTGATTCACCAGGTTGGAAACACATTTTTTGTAGAATCTACAAAGGGACATTTCTGAGACCACTGGGGCCTATAGTGAAAAACTAAATATCCCACACCAAAAACTAGAAACAAGCTATCTGTGAAAATGTTTTGTGATAAATGGATTCATCTCACAGAGTTAATCCTTTGTTTTGATTCAACACGTTAGAAATACTCTTTTTTAGTACATACAAAGGGACATTCCTCTTCCCATTGACGCCTATAAGGTAAAATCAAATATCACACCATGCAAACTAGAAACAAGCTATCTGTCAATATGTTTTGTGATGTGTGGACTCATCTAATAGAATGAAACCTGTGTTTTGATTCTCCACATTGGAAATACTCTTTATGTAGTATATACGAAGGGACATTTTTTAGCACATTGAAGCCTGTAATGAAAATCTGAATGGAACCTGTGTTTTGATTACACAGGTTGTAATTATGCTTTATGTACTATATACAAAGGGATATTCCTGAGCCCTTTGGAGCCTATAGTGAAAACCCAAATATCCCATGATATAAACTAGAAACAAACTATCTGTGAAAATGTTTTGTGATGTATGAATTTATCTCACAGAGCTAAACCTGTGTTTTAATTCAAAAGGTTAAAAACACTTTTTGTAGAATCTACAGAGGGACATTTCTGGCTCATTGAAGTCTAGAGTGAAAGACAGAATATCCCATGACAAACACTAGAAAAAAGCTCTCTGTGAAAATGTTTTGTGCTCTGTGGTTTCATCTCACAGAATGGAAACTCTTTTGATTCACAACGTTGGAAAGATTCTTTTCATAAAATCTATGAAGAGACATTTCTGAGCCCATTGAGGCCTGCAGTGAAAAACTGTGTATCCCTCAATAAAAACTAGAAACAAGCTACCTGTGAAAATGCTTGGTGGAGTGTGAATTCTACTCACAGAATGGAACCAGTGTTTTCATCCACCAAGTTGGAAAGAATCATTTTGTGGCATATATGAAGGGACATTACTGTTCCCTTTGAATCCTATAATGTGAAACTGAATATCCCATGATAAAAACTAGAAACAAGCTGTCTGTGAAAATGCTTTGCGATGTGTGGATTCAACTCACAGAATGGAAACTGTGTTTGATTCACCATGTTGGAAATACTCTTTATGTAGTATATAAGAAGAAAAATTGCTGAGCCCTTTGAAGCCTGTAGTGAAAAACCGAATATGCTGCAATAAAAACTGGAAACAAGCTATCTGTGAAAATGTTTTGTGATGTATGGATTCATCTCACTGAGCTAAACCTGTGTTTTGATTCACCAGGTTGGAAACACTGTTTCTCGCATATACGAGGAGATATTTCTGTTTCCATTGAAGCCTATTGTGAAAAACCAAACATCCCATGATAAAAACTAGATAAAAAGCTATCTGTCAAAATGCTTTGGAATGTGTAGATTCATCTCACAGAATGGAAACTGAGTCTAGATTCACAATGTTGGAAACACCCGTTATGTGGTATGTACAAAGGGTCACTTCTGAGCCCTATGAAGCCTATAGTGAAAAATCGAATATCCTGAGATTAAAAACTATAAACAAGCTATCTTCAAAAATGTTTTGTAATGTATGGATTCATCTCAGAGCTAAACCTGTGTTTTGATTTATCAGGTTACAAATACTCCTTTTGTATAATCTGCAAGAGGACATTCCTGAGCTCACTGAAGTCTATAGTGAAATACAGAATATTGTGCAACAAAAACTAGAAACAAGCTCTGTGTAAAAATGCTTTGTGCTGTGTGGTTTTATCTCACAGAATGAAAACTGTCCTTTGATTCACCACGTTGGAAATACTCTTGGAAAAAAAAAAAATGAAGGGACATTTCCGAGCCCATTGAGAACTATAGTTAAAAACCATATATCCTGTGATAAAAACTAAAAACTAGCTACCTATAAAAATGCATTGTGATATGTGGATGCTTCCCACAGAAGGAAACCTGTGTTTTTATTCACCAGGTTAGAAACACGCTTTTTGTAGTATGTATGAAGTGACAATTCTATTCCCTTTGAAGCCTATAATGTGAAAACAAATACGCCATGAAAAAAATCTAAAAACAAGCTATCTGTGAAAATACTTTGTGATGTGTGGATTTATCTCACAAAGCTAAATTTGTGTTTTTATTTACCAGGTTAGAAACACTCTTTTGGTAGAATCTTAACAAAAGACGTTTCTTAGCTTTCATAGTGAGTAACCTAATATGCCATGATAAAAACAGGAAACAAGCTATCCTTGAAAATGCTTTGTGATGTATGGATTCAACCCACAGAATGGAAACTCTGTTTGATTCACCATGCTGGAATTTCTCTTTAAGTAGTATATACGAAGAAACATTTCTGAGCCATTTGAAGACTATAGGAAAATCAGAATATCCTGTGATAAAAACTAGAAACAAACAATCTGTGAAAATGTTTTGTGATGTGTGGATTCATCTTAAAGAGCTAAATCTGTGTTTTGATTCACCAGTTTGGAAACACTGTTTGTAGTAGATACGAAGAGACAGTTCTGTTTCCATTGAAGCCTATAGTGAAAAACCGAATATGCCGCCCTAAAAATGAGAAGCATGCTGTCTCTCAAAATTCTGTGTGATGTGTGAATTCGTCGCACAGCATGGAAACAGTATTTTGATTCACCAGCTTGGAAATACTCTTTATGTAGTATATATGTTGAAAAATTTCTGAGACTTTTGAAGTCTATACTAAAAAATTGAATATCACGTGATAAAAACTAGAATCAAACTATCTGTGAAAATGCTTTGTTAAGTGTGGATTCACCTCAGAAAGCTCAAACTAGGTTTTCACTTACCAGGTTAGAAACCCTCTTTTTGTAGAATCTACCAACATACATTTCTGAGCTCATTGAAGTCTTTAGTGAAAAACCAAAAAAACTGCAATTAAAAACCAGAAACAAGCTATCTGTGATAATGCTTTGTGATGTATAGATTCATCTCACAGAATAGAATCTGTTTTTAGATTCAGCACGTTGGAAACACTCTTTTTATTGCATATATGAAGAGACATGACTAAGTCCGTTGAAGCTTATAGTGAAAAACTCAATATTCTGAAATAAAAACAACAAAACAAGCTATCTATGAAAATGCTTTCTGATGTGCAGATTCTTCTCACAGAATGAAACCTGTTTTGGTTCAACAGGTTGGAAACACATTTTTTGTAGTATATATGAAGGGACGTTTCTGTTTCCATTGAAGCCTGAAGTGAAAAACCAAATATCCTGTGAAAAAAACTAGAAACAAGCTATCTGTGAAAATGCTTTGTGATATGTGGCTTCATCTCACTGAGTTAAACCTGTGTTTTGATTCGTTAGGTTGGAAATACTCTTTATGTAGTATATACAACGTAAAATTTCTGAGCCCTTTGTAGTCTATAGTATAAAATCAAATATCACACGATAAAAACTAGAAACAGGCTATCTCTGAAAATGCTTTGTGATGTGTGGATTCATCTTAGAAAGCTAATACTGGGTTTTCATTTAACAGGTTAGAGACACTCTTTTTGTAGAATCTACCAACATACATTTCTGAGCTCACTGAAGTCTTTAGTGAAAAACTGAATACACCGCAATAAAAACTAGAAACAAGCTATATGTGAAAATGCTTTGTGATGTGTGGATACTTCTCACAGAATGGAACCTGTATTTTTATTCAACAGGTTGGAAACACTCTGCATGTAGTATACATGAGGACACATTTCTGAACCCATTGAATACTATATTGAAAAAATAAATATCCTGTGATTAAAACTATAAACAAGGTATAAGTGAAATTTTTTGTGATGTAATAATTCATCTCACAGAACCAATCCCGTATTGTGATTTACCAGGTTAGAATCATTCTTTTTGTAGAATCTACAAAGGGACATTTCAGTGCTCTATTAAGTCTATAGTGAAAAACCAAATGTCCCACAATAAATACCAGAAATAAGCTATCTGTGAAAATGCTTCATGATGTGTGGATTCATCTCACAAAATGAAAACTGTGTTTTGATTCACTACACTGGAAACAATCTTTTTGTAGTATATACGGAGGTATATACGGAAATATACTATATATACGGATATATAGTATATACGTATATACTATACGGAAATATATACGGAGTATATATTTCTGTTTCAGTTGAAGCCTATAGTAAAAAAACGAATACTTGCGATAAAAACTAGAAACAAGCTATCTCTCAAAAAGCTTTGTGATTTGTGGATTCATCTCACAAAATTGGACCTGTGTTTTGATTCACCTGGTTGGAAACACTCTTTATGTAGTATATGCGAAGTTACATCTCTGAGCCCATAGAAGCCTATAGTGAAAAACAGAATATCCTGCAATAAACCTAGAAACAAGCTATCTGTCAAAATGCTTTGTGATGTGTGTATTCTTGTCACAAAATGAAAGCTGCATTTTCATTCACCAGGTATGAAACACTCTTTATGTAGTATATACGGGGACATTTCTGTCCCCTTTGAAGCCTATAGTGAAAAAACAAATATCCCATGATAAAAAGTACAAGCAAATGATCTGTGAAAATGCTTTGTGATGTGTGTTTTCATCTCACAGAATGGAACCTGTGTTTTGATTCACGAGGTTGGAAACACTCTTTTTGTGGAATATATGAATGGACATTTCTGAGCTCATTTAAGTATACAATAAAAACCCAAATATCCCATGATAACAACTAGAAACAAGCTCTTCATAAAAATGCTTTGTGCTGTGTGGATTCATCTCACAGAATGGAAACTGTGTCACTCTTTTGGTAGAATCTATGAAGTGACATTTCTGAGCCCATTGAGGCATGTAGTAAAAAACAGAATATCCTGCGCAAATCTAGAAACAATCTATCTGTGAAAATGTTTTGTGCTGTGTGGATTCATCTCACAGAATGGAAATGGTGTTTTGATTCAGCAAGTGGGACACAAATTTTTTTTTGTACTATATATGAAGGAACATTTCTGTGCCCATTGAAGCCTATAGTGAAAAACCGAATATCCCATGATAAAAACTAGGATCAATCTATCTGTGAATATGCTTTGTGATGTGTGGATTTATCTCACAGAATGGAGTGTGTGTTTTGATTCACCAGGTTTGAAAGACTGTTTATGTAGAATCTACCAAGGGACATTTTTGAGCCCCATGAGACCGATAGTGAAAACCCAAATATCTCCAAGCAAGCTATCTTTAAAAATTCTTTGTCGTAAGTGGAATCATCTCACAGAATGGAACCTGTGTTTTGATGCAACGGGTCGGAAACACACTTTTTATACAATCTACAGAGGCACATTTCTGAGCCCATTGAATCCTATATTGAAAACCGAATATCCCACAATAACAACTAGAAACAAGCTATCTGTGAAAATGCTTTGTGATGTGTGGATTCATCTCACAGAATGAAACCTGTGTTTTGATTCACTAGATTGGAAACACTCTTTTTGTGAATCTAGGAAGGGACATTTCTGAGCCCAATGTGGCCTATAGCAAGAAACCAAATATCCCACGATAAAAAGTGGAAGCAAGCTATCTTTGAAAATGCTTTGTCATACGTTAATTCATCTTACAGAATGAAACTTGTGTTTTGATTCACCAGGTAAAAAACAATTTTTTTTGTAGACTCTAAATAGGGACATTTCTAAGCCTATTGAAGCCTATAGTGAAGAACCAAATATCACGTGATGAAACCTCAAAACAAACTATCTGTGAAAATGCTATGTGATGTGTGGATTCAATTCACTGAAGGGAACCTGTGTTTTAATTCACCAGGTTAGAAACACTCTTTCTGTAGAATCTACAAAATGACATTCCTGAGCTCATTGAAGCCTACAGTGAGAAACTATATATCCCTTGATGAAACTAGAAACCAACTACCTGTGAAAATGTTTTGTGATGGGTGGATTCATCTCACAGAATGGAATCTGTGTTTTGATTTACCAGGTAGGAAACACTGTTCTTGCGGAATCTACTAAGGGACATTTCATAGCCCATTGAGGCCTATAGTGAAAACCAAATATCCCGCGATACAAACTAGAAACAAGCTATCTGTGAAAAATGCTCTGTGCCGTGTGGATTCACCTCACAGGGCTAAACCTATGTTTTCATTTACCAGGTTAGAAACACTTTTTTTTTATATATAGAATCTACAAATGGACATTTCTGAGCTCATTGAAGTCCATAGTGAAAAACTGAATATCCCACGATAAAAACTAAAACAAGCTATCTAAAAAAATGCTTTGTGACATGTGAATTCTTCTCACAGAATGGAAACTGTGTTTTTATTCACCAGGTTGGAAACATTCTTTTTGTAGTATATACAAAGGGACATTCCTGTTCCCAGTGAAACCTATATTATAAAACCAAATATCCTGTGATTTAAACAGAAACAAGCTATGTGTAAAACTGCTTTGTGATGTGTGAATTCATCTCACAGAATAGAACCTGTGTTTTGATTCACCTGGTTGGAAACACTCCTTCTGTACTATATGCGAAGGAACATTTCTGAGTCCATTGAAGCCCATAGTGAAAAACCGATTACCTGTGATAAAAACTAGAAACAAGCTATCTGTGAAAATACTTTGTGATGTGTGAATTTATCTCACAGAATGAAACCTTTGTTTTCACTCACAAGGTTGGAAACATTCTGTTTGTAGTATATACGAAGAAACATTCCTGTTCCCGTTGAAGCCTATAATGTAAAACCGATTATGCTGTGATAAAAACTAGAAACAATCAATCTGTCAAAATGCTTTGTTCTGTGTGGATTCATCTCACAATGGAACCAGTGTTTTGATTCATCAGGTAGGAAACTATCTTTTTTGTAGAATCTATGAAGGGACATTTCAGAGCCCATTGAAGCCTACAGTTATAAATCCAATATCCTGCGATAAAAACTGGAAACAAACTATCTGTGAAAATGCTTTGTGATGTGTGGATTCATCTCCATGATCAAACCTGTGTTGTGATTTACCAGATTAGAAAAGCTTTTCTTTTAAGATCTACAAAGGGACATTTCTAAGCCCATTGAGTCCTATAGTGAAAAACATAATATACCATGATAAAAACTAGAAACAAGCTATAGGTGAAAATACTTTGCACTGTGTGGATTCATCTCACAGAATGGAAACTGTGTTTTGATTCACCAAGTTGGAAACAATCTTTTTGTAGAATCTACAGAGGGACATTTCTGAGCCCATTATGGCCTATAGTGAAAAACTGAATATCCCACGCTAAAAACTAGAAAAAAAACTATCTGTGAAAATGCTTTGTGACAGGTGGATTCATCTAATAGAATGGAAACTGGTTTTGATTCACCAGGTTGGCAACACTCCTTTTGTAGAATTTATGAAGGGACATTTCTGAGCCCATTGAAGCCTATATTGAAAACCAAATATCCCCCAGTAAAAACTTGAAACAAGCTATCTGTGAAAATGCTTTGTGATGTGTGGATTCATATCAGAGAATGGAACCTGTGTTTTCATTCACCAGGTTGGAAACGATCTTTTTTGTGGAATCTAGGAAGGGACATTTCTGAGCCCAATGAGGCCTAAAGCCAAAATCCAAATATCCCATGAGAAAAAGTAGAAACAAGTTATCTTTGAAAATGCTTTGTGATGTGTGGATTCATCTTACAGAATGAAACTTGTGTTTTGATTCCCCCGGTTGGAAACATTTTTTTTTTTTTTTTGGTAGAATCTACAAAGGAACATTTCTGAGCCTACTGAGGCCTCTAGTGAAAAATTGAATATCCCATGATAAAAACTAGAAACAAACTATCTGTGAAAATGCTTTGTGATGTGTTGATATAACTCACTAAATGGAACCTGTGTTTTGATTCACCAGATTGAAAACACTCTTTCTGTAGAATCTAAGAAATGACATTCCTGAGTCCATTGAAGCCTACAGTGCAAAACTGAATATTCTGCCATAAAAACTAGAAACAATCTATCACTGAAATTGCTTTATGATGTGTGGATTCATCTCACAGAATGGAACCTGTGTTTCTATTCACCAGGTTGGAAACACTGTTTCTGTAGAATCTGCAAAGGAACAGTTCTGAGCCCATTGAAGCCCACTAAAATCTAGAAATTTAACGTTCAACATGATAAATATAAATAATAAAATTGTGCTGTATTTTGGATTCATGCTAACCCAGTAGATTTTACCTTGTTCTGCCACAAAAGCCAAACAAAACAAATTGTATAACTATGCGACATGATGGATTGTTGATTTGCTTCTCTATGGTAATCTATGGTACTATCTACCTCTATTTCATGGCATCATGTTGTATATTTTCAATTTTCAATATACATAACAAAATGTATTTTTAGAAAAAGAGAATCAGCAATAATCACATTTGTGCTACTAGCTCCTGAATATTAAACTTATTATGGTATCCTATTTAAATAAAATTTATAGTTTCTACTTTTTATGCAATTAAGCTTCTGTCTTAGATGATTTATTTTTAAAACATGAGTAGAATAACCATCTCTACCCATTCTGAATCATAATTGGATATCTCTGTGTATACTTCAATCTCATAGTTTCACTTTTTTTGTCTGTAATAAACATAGTTGTTTTTGAGCTGCTCATTCTGAAGTTTTTCAGATTCATTACTTGGATTTTCTAGGAAAAAAATAACCCCCCATATTTTAAATACATTTTTAGCTTAAGGTAGAATTTACTGAACCTCATAATTATGTTTAAAGATTAAAACTAGATTTATATTAGATCACATTTAAAGGTCTCTTTGATATTCTTCAAGCCCAGGAACTGAATTATTTCTTCTTAACTATGCACTGTTAATTTCATTGCAGGGATTAATAAATCCTGTCATTACCCATTTATAAACCTGCTATTTTCAGAGTTGCATTTATTGCTTGCCTTTTTTCAAAGTGCCATTTCATAAGAGCAGTTTAACAAATGTTAAATTTCAAAGACAGATAATAGATAATTACAAACATTTAAATGATGGATGTTAATATGATCTTAATAAAATGTCATGTAAATTAAGGTAATGTCTGCAGAAGACAGTCATTCTAAACTAATTTTATTGTTACATAACAAATATGTCTCACCTCTTACATTCTACCCAGAGTTGTCTACTCACTATTTAATACACTTTTAAAATAAGGGTTAGAGATAACAAAAATGTTCTCATTACTTATCAAAATATTTGAAGCAAGTTATTGAATAAAATGATCTTAAAGAATAGAACAAAAGTTTTAAATTAAGAAATGTTTTAAAATAATATTCAATAAGTTGAATAACCTCACAATAACAAACAAAGGTGAAAAAATATTTTCCCCTTTCAATCAATCAGAAAATTCAGCATAAAGAAATACAGCAACCTGCCCAAAGTAATGAAATAAGTCTTGTAACCAACTCTTAACTCTCAACACACTAGAAAATTATACTACTAAAAAGTTTTGATTAGTTATGTATAAATAGAGCAGTGCTGACATGTAATACAAAGAATGTGCATGAATGTGTCTAAATAGAAGTTTTGTTTAGAATTGGTCATCTACAGTTCATGTGTAATTACAATTTGCAAGTTCTCTCAGGTTTACCACTCTACTGTGGGGCCTTTGATGATGCCAACAAAATTTCATTAAAATTCGGATATATGCTCTACAGTTAAAATCTAAACTCATATTAACCAAAGGAAATGCACAAAAAATGTGAAAGTATTTAGGTAGACATATTAATAGCTTCACTAATACCCTGTAAAATATTATATCTCAATTCATATTTGACTACATTTTGTATATTGAAAATAAACTTATTTTAGACCTGGAGAAAAAAATGACACTATTAAAGAAAATGAATAAAGCAATCATGATATTAGATGAGAACACTTGGGTCTTGGGAGAGAAATAAAAAGAGTGAAAGAATCAAAAGATAAATAAGCAGCGCCAAAATCAAATTGTACTCTGGATGACGTATGAATAGATTTATAACAAAACACAGTGTTGTTTTTCAAATAACTTAATAAATACAAGAAACATTGTGAATGATTGTTCATTGTTATTACATAATATTTAAAATATGAAGTACACACTTCTGTAACTTAATATGTCATTTGGATACCTTTTCTCAAGAAGACTCAAATAAATAATTTTATTATGCCTTAAATATTACCAAGTCAGAATACTCACAGATGGATACTCTGTCCAAATGAGTATTTGTGATTGCGCATTTACACACACATATAATTTGTCATTGGTAATTTTGTTGCAGAAATTATTGTGAGAAAATAAATTTTAAAAGAAAATACGATTCTATGAATACATTTTATATTTTACCTTTTTCTGGCACATACTGTTGCATCAAACTGATTAATTAATGTAATTATGTTAAACTTCTCCAGTTAAAAAAGAGAATATACACTGCAAAGCTGAATGTGTATACTACTTGTTGAATATACTGGTATTTAAATATGCACATTTAAAGGACTATTGTGAAAATTAAATGAAGTTTTATTCGAATATCATCAGTTTATTCACACTGAAACTGAGACATTATTAAAAGTCAGTATGTGAAACCTCGTCTCTACTAAAAATACAAAAATTAGCCAGGCGTGGTGGTGGGCGCCTGTAATCTCAGTTAGTCGGGAGGGTGAGGCAGGAGAATTGCTTGAACCCGAGAGGTTGAAGGTTGCTGTGAGCCAAGATTGTGCCATTGCACTCTAGCCTGGGCAACAAGAGTGAAACTCCTCCTCAAAAAAAAAAAAAAAGTCATATAGTTCACCCATTAGTTAAGATTAAATTTAGAACAAAAAAAGTAATTAAAATATGGTTTATTCAATTTTTCTCATTAATTCTGACAATATAATAAGACTATCTTGTATTCATAATTATGAAATGGAACACTGTAAACATAGTATCACTATTAGTAAGTGGTATCCAAGGATATAAATGTGCTCCTGGATTAGGCTGACTTCTTTCTCATTTGATTTTCTAAACCATTTATATCTCTGAATTTTGATTTCTATTTACTTCCAATAAATAGTATGGGTAGATGAACCACACACTTCAATTATCGTAAAAAATATTTTTGTTGATCTACAACATTTTAGTTTAAATTCAATTTTAATGTTTCCTGTGTTTAACTGAAAATATATTCAAATTAGTTTGTTTATTTAAATAGTCTGAAATTTTGATATTCACAAGAGAGCTCTTCATTAAACTAGTTATAGCAAAACATTCACCAAAATTTAAAAAACACTATTTTAAAAAACATATATTTTTATATTATCATTGAAGGATTATAAAAATAAAAATATAAAAAATTTAAGTAAATATATACCTTGGCAATGAAAATGGCTTATATAATGACAGCATTTATGAGAGCCACTAAACAAAAATTAGTAACGAAGTTTTTATTTCTGTTTATATTTTATTTAAATATTTTATTAACTTCTTGTCAACTTACTTGACATATGGGTTTGAAAATTTAGGACACGTACACTTTGTACATGAATTCAATGACTAGCTTTTAGTTTGTTTTATTTTGTAAGCCTCAGTGATTTTCCCCAAAACATATCCTTAGTTCTTCTGCTAACATTTTCACAGGAATAAAGCACAAATAGGGAATATCTGATCACAGAGGATACTATGAATACTGTCACACTCACACTAGCCACTCATGTCCTCAAACTTAGTACATATTTGTTTTAGAAAAATATTCTCAGGGACCTTCTCAGTAACATCAAGAAAAACGACTTATTGAAAAGTGGAGATATGAAAGCGTTTGCTACTTCTGTTATAAAACCTCTTCCCTGGCTAGCTGTGTGACACTTATTATAAAGGACCCCTAATCATGGTTCATAGCTGTTACAGTTTTTTGTTTATTTTCTTATTTAATGTCTTTAAGGAGTTAAATAAGCAATTTTGAAAATAATAATATAATTATTATAGCCTCAACATAAAGGAAAGGAGCAGTATCAAAGAGCATTTTTTTTGGTCAAACATTATCAGAAAATAATGAATAGAGTTTTTATAAGAATATATGGAGAACATGCTGAATCACTTATCATAATCAAACATTAGAAGCTAATTCCAATGTATTTAGGAAATAAGATATTTTTCTTGGCAGGCTAATTGGTAGCATCTAGAATTTATGTGATGGGTGGAGAATTAGACTTTGGTAAGAATCAAAGTATTGTTGGCATAATTGAAATCCAGGCATAAGAATAATGAACTTAGCTTGTAGCTAATTGTCATCACAAATACTCTGACATTGTCCTTGGGAATGTCACTGTTCAAAATAGGCTGCAGATCCCCCCGATCTGTACATGTATGTGGACATGGCCACCGTGGCACTTCTGGAAGTAATCTTTGATCAAACCTGCAAATTTGTGTGAATCTTTCAAATGTAAAGTCTCAGCACAAAGCATCTTAAACTCAGTGCATAGACCACGTCCACATATTCTCAAAAAGAAGAGGGGGCACAGGAAGAATATACATCTCATTTTAGGTGTCTGTACAGAAAGCTAGTTACTACCTGCTACCAAAGTCTACTAGTGGTTTTGCTCCAATATACGGAGATGGTATAAATGCTGGGCCGCTGAAATAGTAACAAAACACACTTCACTGAAGGATTTATTTTTAAGATTGCTTTGATTGTCATGTTTTATAAGCATTAGACAACTTTTAATTGATTATAAAATAATAGACTTAAGCATAACTAAAACATTAAAAATATAATAGAAAATGTGATTCAGTGTTCCAGTGTCATGAATCACAGTGAAAGTAACTTATACTCTATCTCCTTTGCTAGTCCTCTATTTAAAAAATCATTCTCGGCCGGGCGCGGTGGCTCACGCCTGTAATCCCAGCACTTTGGGAGGCCGAGGCGGGCGGATCACGAGGTCAGGAGATCGAGACCCCGTCTCTACTAAAAATACAAAAAATTAGCCGGGCGTGGTAGCGGGCGCCTGTAGTCCCAGCTACTCGGGAGGCTGAGGCAGGAGAATGGCGTGAACCCGGGAGGCGGAGCTTGCAGTGAGCCGAGATCGCGCCACTGCACTCCAGCCTGGGCGACAGAGCGAGACTCCGTCTCAAAAAAAAAAAAAAAAAAAATCATTCTCAGCAAACTAACACAAGAATGGAATATTATAAAGAAAATTTTGCTGATTAATATATAAATTGTAGTTTTAGAAGTGATTTGACCAAATTGTTAAGGAGGAGAATTTCTATATCTCAAATATACTAGGCTATGAGTAATAAAAATTAAAAAGAAATATAGGCAGACTGATAAAATTGCAATAAAATTCAAATTTACAAACAATTTATATGAAACCTTTTTTTAGAAACATTAAACAGCAATAAGTAAAAAATATGTTTTGTACAGTAAAGTAAAAAAATATATTTTGTACAGGAAATTCACTGATGGGAAAATGACTGTTGAATTTGTTTAATAATAATGTTAATTATATAAATGTCAAAGAAGAAAAACAAGGAAATAGCATTCTATATCATACACTCAGGAAACTAAGCTGTTAACTGCTTTGGAAAGTGTTTGTATATATATATATATAATTTTAGATGAGTGTTATAAAAATTATAAACCTCTAACTATACCATAAACGCAACACAAAAATGTCAAATGTGCACAAGGAATATAAATAAAGGTTTCATGCAACATTATATTTAACAATGACATAAAGTTTGGAAACATTATCGTGTCCACCAAGAGGAAAATATGAAACTTATACAAAATCAGGGTTCCCATAAAACAGTACACTATAACTAAAATAATAATTTGAGTTATAGGAATAAATATAACAAAATCTCTAAAACCTAATGTTGAATGTAAAAAAAAAAAGTTGAAACATAAGTCTGCTGCAAAAAATTATGTAAAATTTAGAGATTCACAATAAACTCTAGATATTTCATATGGATACAATTATGTAATTTAAGTACTGGGTATATACCCAAAGGATTATAAATTATTCTATAAAGCCACATGCACACGTATGTTTATTGCAGTACTATTTACAATAGCAAAGACTTGGAACCAAACCAAATGCCCATTAATGATAGACTGGATAAAGAAAATGTGGCACATATACACCATGGAATACTATGCAGTCATAAAAAAGGATGAGTTCATGTTCTTTGCAGGGATATGGATGCGTTCATGTCCTTTGCAGGGACATGGATGAAGCTGGATACCATCATTCTCAGCAAACTAACACAGGAACAGAAAACTAAATACTGTATGTTCTCACTCATAAGTGAGAATTGAACGATGAGAACATATGGACACAGGGAAGGGAACATCAAATACCGGTGCTTATTGGGAGGTGGGGGGCTATGGGAGGGATAGCATTAGGACAAATACCTAATGGAGATGACGGGTTGCTGGATGCAGCAAACCACCACGGCACATGTATACCTATGTAACAAACCTGCATGTTCTGCACATTTATACATGTATCTGAGAACTTAAAGTATAATACAAAATAAACATTTAAAAAAATAAGCTGTGTTAATTGTATTGTGCTTTCCTTTACTGTACTTCACAGATACTATGATTTTTACAAATTGAAGGTTTGTGGCAACCCAGTATGAAATAAGTCTGTGGGTGCCATTTTTCCAACAGCATATATACACTTTTTTAGAATTTTTTAGCAATAGAGTATTTTTAATTAAGACAAGTAAATTTTTTAGCACAATGCTATTCCACACTTAATAGAATGCAGTAAACTATAAATATAAATATTATATACACTGGAAAACCAAAAAATGTATATGACTCACTTTATTGTGATATTTGCTTTACTGTTATGGTCTGCAACAGTACCCAGAATATCTCTGAGGTATGTCTAAGTACTCAAAACTCTTTCAAAAGAAACCTTACTACAAACAGTGATCTTGTCATGGATAAATTCATAAATGTTTAGGTTTAAAAACATCTAGGAATCAAGACCCTGGCTTTTATAAAGATAGTTTATGTGGGTGGATCTCGAGGTCAGGAGATCGAGACCATCCTGGCATCCTGGCTAACATAGTGAAACCCTATCTCTACTAAAAATACAAAAAATTAGCCGGGCGTGGTGGCAGGCACCTGTAGTCCCAGCTACTCGGGAGGCTGAGGCAGGAGAATGGCGTGAACCTGGAAGGCAGAGCTTGCAGTCAGCCGATCGCGCCACTGCACTCCAGCCTGGGCGACAGAGAGAGACTCCGTCTCAAAAAAAAAAAAAAAAAAAAAGGGATAGTTTATCTTCTA
Source organism: Homo sapiens (assembly GCF_000001405.40). NCBI lineage: Eukaryota > Metazoa > Chordata > Mammalia > Primates > Hominidae > Homo > Homo sapiens. The sequence continues at coordinate 23,912,758 of NC_000005.10, forward strand.
GAATCATACCTGAAGAGACTTTGGTCAAAGAGTTTCAAAAGCACTCATCTAGTCCAAACTATGGTCATCTCCTCAAGACAAATATGTGAAGAGAAGATTCACTAAGCTTAAGATAAAGGTATTGGGATTATCACTATCAATATAATTCATCTGTCATTTCTACTACACGCACTTGGACTGTATCCTACATATTTTAGCAGTATTTGTAAGTATTGAGCTGTGCATTCTTCAGTGAGAAATCTTATCAAAATTTATGTTTACTTGGATATATAGATATCAACGAAAAATATTTTTATATATACCTATTGTTTTTTTAATAATAACATTTAAAGGAAAGTCAAACAAACTTACTACTTAAACAGTATGAACAGTGAGTTATATAGGCTTGTATTCTTAAAATAAAACCCTAATATGCATATGTAAAAAAGGATTTATTAAGTTCTACAAGGTAAGCATACCATACACAATTGCAGGAAGTGCAGACATGTCTCAGAAATACAGAAGTGACAGGAAGTTACTCTTTCCTTTTACATTCTTCTCATGATTTTTATAATTCCATTTTGATCCTCTCTTCCTCTCTCTCAAATTGTTGCCTTATCTGTTCATACATATTTATTCATTATTTACTAGTAATCTCTCCATCTTGAGTCTATGGAAACTTGGAGTTCATGTTTTTTAAATGAGGGATTAACTCTATTCAAATGTCAGTCAAAAAATTGAGGAAAATGAAGTTATATGATTTTAAATCAGGTGTCCATTTGTGACTGTTGGCCATGATATTGTTGAGGGCAAATTCTATTAGAAGGCATTTTGCAATCAATGCTTATCTAATATGCTGCCTGGTTAAAATACATAACACCAACCTTTCTCCCCAAATATATACGTTAACAACATCCCTTAGCATCATAATCTAGCCACATTAGTCTGTTTTCACACTGCTAATAAGGATATACCCAAGTAATTTACAAAGGAAGCAGGTTTAATGGACTCATAGTTCCACATGGCCGGGGAGGATTCTCAATCATGGTGGAAGGCAAAGGAGGAGCAAAAGCACATTTTACATGGCTGCAGGCAAGAGAGTTTGTGCAAGGGAACTCCCATTTATGAAACTATCAGAACTCCTGAGAATTATTCTCTATCATGAGAAAAGCATGGAGGAAACTGGCCCTGTGATTCAATTCTCTCCACTTGGCCCCATCCTTGACATGGAGGAGGATGGTTATTGCAATTCAAGGTGAGATTTGGGTGGGGACACAGCCAAACCATATCAGTAGCAAAGTATGTCATGCATAAATTTGACTTCTATCCTCCTCCTCAATAAAGGCAAACAAAAATGACAGATTTTGCATTTTTAGATAGACTCATAAGGTCATTTTGAATATGGCTAAACTAAGAAGTATATCTTCTTCAAGTAATTGACAACTGAACACACATAATATTAATCACTATGCCATGTAGGCCACACATTTTTAAAAAGAGCCAAGATTTGCTGTAAAAAGTGGCTAGAAGACTAAACCTGGAATTTAAAGCTGTTTTACCCAATACAATTTTATGTTCTCAATGAAGTCGCTGAAAATCTAAGCACAATATTGGAGAAACTCAAAGGTATAAGGACAAAAATTAGAGTTAAATGATCTGATAATAGAAGCATCAGTATACTCAGACTTTGAGTTATATCTCATACAGCTTAACTAAAAATACATACATTTGTACAAAGTAAAGGCTAGTTTTGCACCCTCTGAATCTCTGATTGTTGTTAGTTGATCTGGCATTTTAAAGACTTTGCTATTTGCCAGCAGTAAACATAAATTATCTCTGAAGATAACATCTTCTAAGGCCTTATGTTAACTGAGCTACATGAAATATATAATAAGTAAAGACGTAAGAAATATGACTGGCCCCATCGTTGTTCTCAGCCTTGGGATGCTTGTCTTGGGCAAACTTGATGTAGACTACAGGAGCAACCAATAAGTAAAGAAAGACTTCAGCATAACTCTCAAATTATGCACAATCCAACAGATAGCTGAGTGTAGATGATAATCATGGCAAGATTCTTGATTATAACTGGTGATTGTCCAGCAAAAAATGAATGGGTACACTATTTTTTTATATTGTTATCTCAGTAAAAAGAAACACTTCTTCTAGATGAGGTTTCTTCTCCATCCTATTTTCTCATATAGATTTGTATGGCTTTTATCATACCAACTGTGTCTGAAAGCCTTAGGTCTAACTCTGGCAGCTCTCCTCTCTCCAACAACCCAAGGTGTATGCTAGTTCTCCTGAACATTAACAAAAAAGATTAAGCATTATAAGGTTGTTTTAGTGCCTATATGTTATGTGCATTTTCACTTCCTTATTTCAATGATATATTATTAAGTACTGATACAACCACATTGTTTTATTCTATTGATCATGGTCTATCCATATTTGTGAAAATTACTGCAAAATTTTAAAACATAAATCATGAATTCTAGGGATGATAGTTTATGTCACTGTGTATTCACATACTTTTAGAAAATACACATTTCAAGGGGATCAATATTTGATCAATTATTTTTTGTCTGAGCTACATATTCTAATGTTACTTATTTAATTCACAGTAATTCATCATCAGAATTTTTTTCCCAACATTGATTTGCCTGTGATTGCTAGAATTATGCAAGGAAATTGGACTTTTTAAATATATGAGACATAGTTTTAGTATAAGAATGTGGCATAATGTGTAATTTTCTTTTGCAAATTGTATACATGGTGCTAAATAAAAATTATGTCTAGCATTCCCCCTGAGAACCAGAACAAGATAAGGATGTTCACTCTCCCCATTCCTATTCAGCATAGTACTAGAAATCCTAGCAAGAAAAATCAGGAAAGAGAAAGAAATAAAAGGCATCCAAAATAGGAGGAGAGAATGTTAAACTATCTCCTTTTTCAGGCAATATTATTCTATACCTAGAAACATACAGTGTCTGCCCAAAAGCTCTTAGAACTGATATACAACTTTAGTAAAGTTTCAGGATACAAAATCAATGTACAAAAGTCCATGGCATTTCTATACACTGATAATGTCCAAGCTGAGAAGCAAATTAAGAATGCAATATCACTCACAACAGCCACAAAAATAATAAAATAGCTAGGCACACAGCAAACCAAGGACGTGAAAGATTCCCGTGGCAAGAATTACAAAACATTACTGAAGGAATTCAGAGACCGCACAAACAAATGGCTAAAACTTTCCATGCTCATGGATAGGAAGAATCATTATTACTAAAATGGCCATATCGCCCAAAGCAATTTACATATTCAATGTTATCCCTATCAAACTATCAACATCATTTTTCACAGATTAGAAAAAAAAAAACTATTCTGAAATTCAAATAGAACCAAAAAGGATCCCGAATGGCCAAATCAATCCTAAGCAATAGGAACACAACTGGATGCATCACATTACCCAACTTTATACTACAAGGCTGCAATAACCAAAGAGCATGGTATTAGTACAAAAACAGACAGGTGGGCCAAATGACCAGGTTAGAGAACACAGAAATAAGTCTGCACAGATACAACCATCTGTTCTTCAACAAAGTTGACAATGACAAGCAATAGAAAAAGAACTCCTATTTAATAAATGATGCTGCAATAAACATACGTGTGCATGTGTCTTTAGAGCAGCATGATTTATAATCTTTTGGGTATATACCCAGTAATGGGATGGCTGGGTCAAATGGTATTTCTAGTTCTAGATCCCTGAGGAATTGCCACACTGACTTCCACAATGGTTGAACTAGTTTACAGTCCCACCAACAGTGTAAAAGTATTCATATTTCTCCACATCCTCTCCAGCACCTGTTGTTTCCTGACTTTTTAATGATCGCCATTCTAACTGGTGTGAGATGGTATCTCATTGTGGTTTTGATTTGCATTTCTCTGATGGCCAGTGATGATGAGCATTTTTTCATGTGTTTTTTGGCTGCATAAATGTCTTCTTTTGAGAAGTGTCTGTTCATATCCTTCGCCCACTTTTTGATGGGGTTGTTTGTTTTTTCTTGTAAATTTGTTTGAGCCCATTGTAGATTCTGGATATTAGCCCTTTGTCAGATGAGTAGGTTGCAAAAATTTTCTCCCATTCTGTAGGTTGCCTGTTCACTCTGATGGTGGTTTCTTTTGCTGTGCAGAAGCTCTTTAATTTAATTAGATCCCATTTGTCAATTTTGGCTTTTGTTGCCATTGCTTTTGGTGTTTTAGACATGAAGTCCTTGCCCATGCCTATGTCCTGAATGGTATTGCCTAGGTTTTCTTCTAGGGTTTTTATGATTTTTAGGTCTAACATTTAAGTCTTTAATCCATCTTGAATTGATTTTTGTATAAGGTGCAAGGTAGGGATCCAGTTTCAGCTTTCTATATATGGCTAGCCAGTTTTCCCAGCACCATTTATTAAATAGGGAATCCTTTCCCCATTTCTTGTTTTTGTCAGGTTTGTCAAAGATGAGATAGTTGTAGATATGCAGCATTATTTCTGAGGGCTCTGTTCTGTTTCATTGGTCTATATCTCTGTTTTGGTACCAGTACCATACTGTTTTGGTTACTGTAGTCTTGTAGTATAGTTTGAAGTCAGGTAGCGTGATGCCTCCAGCTTTGTTTTTTTGGCTTAGGATTGACTTGGCAATGCGGGCTATTTTTTGGTTCCATATGAACTTTAAAGTAGTTTTTTTTCCAATTCTGTGAAGAAAGTCACTGGTAGCTTGATGGGGATGGCATTGAATCTATAAATTACATTGGGTGGTATGGCCGTTTTCATGATATTGATTCTTCCTACCCATGAGCATGGAATGTTCTTCCATTTGTTTGTATCCTCTTTTATTTCCTTGAGCAGTGGTTTGTAGTTCTCCTTGAAGAGGTCCTTCACATCCCTTGTAAGTTGGATTCCTAGGTATTTTATTCTCTTTGAAGCAATTGTGAATGGGAGTTCACTCATGATTTGGCTCTCTGTTTGTCTGTTATTGGTGTATAAGAATGCTTGTGATTTTTGTATATTGATTTTGTATCCTGAGACTTTGCTGAAGTTGCTTATCAGCTTAAGGAGATTTTGGGCTGAGACGATGGGGTTTTCTAGATATACAATCATGTCATCTGCAAACAGGGACAATTTGACCTCCTCTTTTCCTAACTGAATGCCCTTTATTTCCTTCCCCTGCCTGATTGCCCTGGCCAGAACTCCCAACACTATGTTGAATAGGAGTGGTGAGAGAGGGCATCCCTGTCTTGTGCCAGTTTTCAAAGGGAGTGCTTTCAGTTTTTGTCCATTCAGTATGACATTGGCTGTGGGTTTGTCATAGATAGCTCTTATTATTTTGAGATATGTCCCATCAATACCTAATTTATTGAGAGTTTTTAGCATGAAGCGTTGTTGAATTTTGTCAAAGGCCTTTTCTGCATCTATTGAGATAATCATGTGTTTTTTTTCTTTGGTTCTGTTTATATGCTGGATTACATTTATTGATTTTCGTATGTTGATGCAGCATAGCAAAGATTTGGAACCAACCCAAATGTCCAACAATGATAGATTGGATTAAGAAAATGTGGCACATATACACCATGGAATACTATGCAGCCATAAAAAATGTTGAGTTCATGTCCTTTGTAGGGACATGGATGAAGCTGGAAACCATCATTCTCAGCAAACTATCACAAGGACAAAAAACCAAACACCGCATGTTCTCACTCATAGGTAGGAATTGAACAATGAGAACACATGGACACAGGAAGGGGAACATCACACATCGGGGACTGTTGTGGGGTGGGGGGAAGGAGGGATAGCATTAGGAGATATACCTAATGCTAAATGACAAGTAAATGGGTGCAGCACAGCAGCATGGCACATGTATACATATGTAACAAACCTGCACATTGTGCACATGTACCCTAAAACTTAAAGTATAATAATAATAATAATAAAATTTAAAAAATAAATGATGCTTGGAGAAGTGGCTAGCCATATGCAGAAAATGGAAACTGAACCACTTTCTTTCATCATGTACAAAACTCAACTCAAGATGGATTAAAGACTTAAATTTAAAACCTAAAACTATAAAAGCCCTAGAAGAAAGCCTAGGACATAGCATTCTGGACATAGGCCTTGGCAAAGATTTCAGGATGAAGACTCCAAAAGCAATTGCAACAAAAACAAAAATTGACAAGTGAGATCTAATAAAACTAAAGAGCTTCTGCCCGGCAAAAGAAACTATCAACAGAGTAAACAGACAATCTATAGAATGATAAAATAAATATTTGCAAACTCTGCCTCTGACAAAGGTCTAATATGCAGATCTATAAGGAATGAAATTAAATCAACAAGCAAAAACCAACTTCATTAAAAATGGGCAGAGGAAATTAACAGACACTTCTTAATGAGGACATACATGTTGCCAACAAGCATATAAAAAATGTTCAAGATCACTAATTATTAGAGAAATGCAAATCAAAACCACAATGGATTACTATCACACCAGTCATAAGGGCTATTATTAAGAAGACAAAATGTAATAGATGTTGGTGAGGTTGCAGAGAAAAGGGAATGTATATCCAGTGCTGGTGGGAATGTGAATTATTTCAGCCACTGTGGAAAGCAGTTTGGAGAATACTCAAAGAACATAAAACAGAACTATAATTTGACCCAGCAATCCTATTACTTGGTATATACCCAAAGGAATATAAATTATTCTGCCATAGAGACGCACACACAAGTATGTTCATCACAGTACTATTCACAATAGTAAAGACATGGAATCAACCTAGATGCCTGATACGGTTAGGTTTTGTGTTCTCACCCAAATTTCATCTTGAATTGTAATCCGCATAATCCCCATGTATCAAGGTGGAGACCAGGTCGAGGTAATTGAATAACGGGGTTGGTTCCCCTATGCTGTTTTCATGATAGTGAGTAAGTTCTCACAAGATCTGATGGTTGTACGAAGGGCTCCTCCCCATTTGCTCGGCATTTCTCCTTCCTGCCACCTTGTGATGAAGGTGCCTTGCTTCCCCTTTGCCTTCTGCTATGATTGTAAGTTTTCTGAGGCCTCCCCGCCATGATGAACTGTGAGTCAGTTAAATTCTTTCCTTTATAAATTACCCAGTCTCTGGCAGCTTTTTATAGCAGTATGAAAACAGACTAATACCATGCCCATTAATGGTGGACTGGATTTAAAAAATGTGATACATATACATCATGGAATACAGTACAGTCATAAAAAGACTGAGGTCATGTTCTTTGCAGCAACATGGATGTAATTGAAGGCGATTATCCTAATGAAATCAACACAGAAAATCAAAAACACATTTTCTCAAATATAAATGGGAGCTAAATATTGAGTACACACAGACCTAAAGAGGGGAACAGTAGACACTTGGGCTTACTTAAGGGTGGAAAATTGAAGGAGGGTAAGGTTGAAAAACTACTTATCAAGTACTCTGCTCACTATCTGGGTGATGAAATAATTTGTACATCAAACCCCAGAAAGATGCAATATATGCATATATCAAAACTGCTCATGTATTCCCTGAATCTAAAATGAAGATGGAGAAAAATACTTCTAAAGACTGAGGAAGATACTGTTTTCCATAATGGCTGTGCCAGAATTACAATAACCCTAACAGTGTACAAGGATTCTCTTTCTTCCACATCCATGCCAACACTTTTTATCATTTGGCTCTTTGATGATATTTTCTAACAGGTGTGAGGTGATGCATGTGTGTGACTCTGTTAGTATTAAGAAAATGTATTTATATACCTTTTCTGTAGATCCAAAACCATACAACCTCAGATATAATATGTTCAAAGAAGAAGATGTATTGAGAAGTTAGCTTTGTAAAGTTATAGCATTAAAATTTTCAAAAGTATGCTCATTGGGCAGATTCATGATTTTCTGCTTTATCAATTTCCAGTATGTTTATGGAATATGCATACATGCTCATCAAAAATGTGTGCCAGGGTTACTTATTTAAACCATCTCTGTTTCACTCACAAAAGCATATATGATCACCCTATTTATATTGAAGATGTAGCTAATAAAATTAAGACTTATTTTTAAAATGGTATAATGATTCATGGCATATATAAGCAGTCAAAGACAAAACCGACTATGAACCAGGTCCATTCCAATTAAGTTAAGCCCCAGAGTAGAAGAATGACAGTGATGTCAAAACATTTTATTTGTTTCTGTATCTTTCCCTTATAAATAAGTCTCATTTCTTTCTACCAAAGCCAGATGTCAGTGAGTGCTTAAATGATTTGAACAATAAAGTAGGATTTAAAAATTAAAATGTTTTCATTCTCCGAAAATAGCCTAAAAGTAATTGAGTAATTGTAGCACATTTTAAATAAACTTTAGAGATGTAAAAATTAAATATAAAGATGCACCACTTAATGCTTAATTTGATAAATTTTGATAAAAATATACACTAGCATAACTAGCACCACAACCAAAATATAGAAAATTGCCATTAACCACTCCTAAAATATTCTTAGCAATCATTCCTTACCTTGACCTTGTGTAATCACACCTGCTTTCTATCATTATAGATTTATTTTTCTTTTATTTATTTAGGTTTTTTTTTTTTGAGACAGAGTTTCGCTCTTGTAACCTGGGCTAGAGTACAGTAGCATGATCTTGACTCACTGCAACCTCCACCTCCCGGGTTCAAGCAATTCTCTTGCCTCAACCTCCTGAGTAGCTGAGAATACAGGCGTGTGCCACCACACCAGGCTAATTTTTGTAGTTTTAGTAGAGATGGGGTTTCACCATGTTGGCCAGGCTGGTCTCAAACTCCTGACCTCAGGTGATCCTCCCACCTCAGCCTCCCAAAGTGCCGGGATTACATGCATGAGCCACTGCACCCAGTCTCATTATAGATTTAAAAGCTTTGCTTTGTTGCTTTGTCTAGAATGTCATATAGAAAATTAATTATACAATTGTACAATATGTATTTTTTTGTTTCTGTCTTATTTCATTCAACCTAATGCTATGTATTTATGTAGAACATTCTTTTATTGCCAAGTAGCTTTTCATCCTGTGGAATTTACCTATCAATCACATATTTTTATTCATTTTTCAATTGATAGGCATATGGGTTGTTTCCAGTTTGTGGCTATTATGAATAAAACCACTATAAATATTTATATACATATCTTTACACAGATATGTGATTTTGTTTCTTTTCAGTAAATACCTAGCAATGTATCACTGAGTCATACGTTAAACTGATGCTAATAAGACTGCCAATTGTTTTTCAGAGGGATGGTATATTCCCACCAGCGATGGATGCGAGTTCAGTCACTCTACTCTGAATGTTCATCAACACTTATTATTGGCAGTGGGGATTCATTATTGTTGCTCTAGTTGTTTTTGCTGGGTTGTTTTGTTTACATTTCATTTTAGTCTTGCAATAGCATATTCTTGTAGTCTTATTTGCATTTTTCTAATGAGTAAAAATGTCAAGAATACATTCTTGTGTTGTTTTTTTTTGCTCTCTGTATCTTTTATAATGTGACTTCCAAGTTTTGTTTTTTGTTCTTGTCTTTTTATTTATTTAGTTTAAAATTTATTTTAACTCTCATTTCTTCCTGCATGTGGCTAGCCTTTGCATTTTATTAATCATGTCTTTTGAAAAGTAAAATTTCTAATTTTGATGATATTTATCTATTAAAATATGTTATGAACTTTCTGTGTGCTGTCTGATAAATATTTGCATATTAATTGTTAAAAAAATTATATTATTTCTACTAGAAATTGTTTACAGTTAGTTTTTACACTTGGGACATTTATAAAGTTAATATTTGCTGAAAGCAATTCTCACTGAACACTCACTGAAAGTGAAATATAAATAAGAGTTTAAATTTTTACAGGAATATCCAGTTGCTTCAGCATTATTAGTTGAAATAAGCATTCTGTCTTCATTGCATTAAATTGACATCTTTAATAAAATTTTAATTGACCACGTGTATATGGATCTCTTTCTGGACTCCGTTTTCAAATTCATTGACCTAAGTGTAAAACATGTTGTAAATTTGGTAATAAATAAGATACTTAGTTGGATTATTTTGTTTTATCAATTCACGATTTAAAAATCTAGTCTTCATGATTTGAACATCAACAACCTCAGATGTTTGATATTTCTGATTAATTGATATTTTTGTTTATAAATTATTAAAAGCATGTATATACACATATATGTTCATATTTATTGTTAGTTTTTAATTTTTATTCATCATTATGTTTTATTTAACTATTATACACTTATTTTATTGAAAGAGATTCCTATAGGTTTTCTTTCACCATATTCTTGTCAGACTTACTCCTCAATGTTCTAGTTATATCCAAAAAACAAATATAATGATATGTATTCATTGTTTAAAGTCCATATTGCTTTTTGTAGCTAATTCATTTTTTAAAAAATTTCTCAAACTTATTGTATATTTATTGAGAAGAATTGCAATAAAACAAAATCAAACCAAAATTTTAGATTGATTGAAATGTATATACCTAAACAATTGTACATATTGTTTGAACACTAAACTCAAAGATTATTAACATAATTGTTTATATAGATAACAACTCTGTAAGAATTAGTAAAGATAGTAATAGGTGTATAAATAATAACAAAATAATCATAAAATTATAATTTTAATATGAAGCTAACATAAAAGAATTAGAGTCAATAGAGAGTATGGGAAAAAACAAAAAAGTTATTTAAGTTTAGTCAATGATTTAGGCCACATTCATAGAGAAATTGCTATATTTCAGGCTCTAAACTTGGCAGACAGCAAGGATATAGAAAAATATGATCATGCAGTAATGGAAATTATGGTATCAGAATCTAGAAAAGGTGACAGTAGACCACTAAAAAAAGTATCTAATATTATTGTAATTAGGACAAATAAAGAGAAATAAAAGGGCAATATAAAATATCGAGTCTTTAAACATGCAGAGTGATTGGAATAAAATTCAGAGACATCATGAAAAATCAATATATGAGAATCAGCAGGAGTGGTCAGTTAGTTAAAATTTAGTCAAAATTATTTTCAAAATGTAAAAATTACCAAATATGTCAACCGCTAAAAGGTGAAGTGAAACTGATTTTCATTTGCATGTGGTTATAAAATAAATTTTCAGTAATTTATTTTCTTATGATAACAAGTTAGTATATATAGAAAAAACCTCATAAAAATGATATGCGAATATTGATATAAGCCATATGGGAATAAATTTAATTAGAATATTTTTAGAGTACAAATGAAAAAAAAGAAACCTATCCAGGGACATAAAAGAAAATTAAAAATAAATGTGTATCTTTTTCTGATGTGAAATGACTTATTGTAGAGGTAGCAATACTTTCCAAATTATTACTATTTTTTTCTTTTCTAAAAGAAAAGATATTTATTTGAAAATAGAGCATTGCAATGGGAATATGTGTGTCATGGTAAACTATGTGTGTATTCATGAGGGTCAAGGAAGACAGATTTTTAAAGGAAAAATGAGGAGAATTACATACTTCTTTTGAGATAATTGTCCTTGGGTACAAGGATCAATAACAAGGGTAGTTTAAGTCTGAGTTTGGACAGGTAGTTTCTGGACAGGTGTTCTTGAAGAAGCATTTTTTGTGTATAGTTGTCATGGCCTTTTTTGCAAGGTTGTGGTATTTGCAAGTCTTTTGTTATGGTTTACGATATCAGGTATTTATGCCTGAGAACCCTTCCCTTAATGGCCTATCTAAGCTCTATTTGTCAAGTGTTTTTCCTTTTTTGGTTTTCTTGTTTGCTTGTTTGTTTTAACATAGGTACTCCATTAAAAAGAAAAAAATACCATCTGTATTAGTTCATTTTAATGCTGCTGATAAAGACATAACCGAGACTGGGAAGAAAAGGAGGTTTAATTGGACTTACAGTTCCGCATGGCTGGGGAGGCCTCAGAATCATGGCAGGAGGTGAAAGCCACTTCTTACATGGCGGCGGCAAGAGAAAAATGAGGAAGAAACAAAAGCAGAAATCCCTGATAAACCCATCAGATCTCATAAGATTTATTCGCTATCATAAGAATAGCATGGGAAAGACGGGTCCCATAATTCAATTACCTCCCTCTCTGTCCCTCCCACAACATATAGGAATTCTGGGAGATACTATTCAAGCTGAGATTTGGGTGAGAACACAGCCAAACCTTATCATTCCACCCCTGGTCCCTCCAAATCTCTTGTCCTCACATTTCAAAACCAATCATGCCTTCCCAGCAGTCCCCCAAAGGCTTAACTCATTTCAGTATTAACCCAAAAGTCCACAGTCCAAAGTCTCATCTGAGACAAGGCAAGTCCCTTCTGCCTATGAGCCTGTAAAATCAAACACAATCTAGTGACTTCCTAGATACAAGGGGGGACAAGTATTAGGTAAATACAGCCATTCCAAATCAGAGAAATTGGCCAAAACAAAGGGGTTACAGGGCCCACGAAAGTCCAAAATCCAGTGGGGCAGTCAAATTTTAAAGGTCCAAAATGATCTCCTTTGACTCTAGGTCTCAAACCCAGGTCACTCTGATGCAAGAGGTGGGTTCTCATGGTCACGGGCAGCCCTGCCTCTGTGGCTTTGCAGGGAACAGCATCCTTCCCTGCTGCTTTCAAGGGCTGGCATTGAGTGTCTGCGGCTATTCCAGGCACACGGTGCAGTGCTCCAGTAGGGATGTTGTGTGGGGGCTCTGACCCCACATTTCCCTTCCCTCATGCCCAAGCATGAGGGCTGCATCCCTGCAGAAAACTTTTGCCTGGGCATCCAGGTGTTTCCATACATCTTCTGATACCTAGGTGGAAGCTTCCAAACCTCGATTCTTGACTTCTGTGCACCCACAGGCTCAATACCACGTGGAAACTGCCAAGGCTTGGGGCTTCCACCCTCTGAAGCCACAGTCCATGCTGTACATTGGCCCCTTTCAGCCAAGGCTGGAACAGCTGGGACACAGGGCACCAAGTCCCTAGGCTGCACACAGCATGGGGACCTTGGGTCTGGCCCATGAAACCACTTTTTCCTTCGGGCCCTCTGGGTTTGTGATGGGAGGGGCTGCCATGAAGATCTCTGACATAGCCTGGAGACATTTTTCCCATGGTCTTGGGCATTAACATTAGGCTCCTTGTTATTTATGCAAATTTCTGCAGCCAACTTGAATTTCTCCTCAAAAACTGGGTTTTTCATTCCTAGTGCATCATCAGGCTGCAAATTTTCTGAACTTTTATGCTCTAGGATGCTTTTAACAGCACCCAAGTCACCTTTTGAATGCTTTGCTGCTTAGAAATTTCTTTCACCAGATATCCTAAATCATCTCTCCCAAGTTCAAAGTTCCATAAATCTCTAGTGCAGGGGGAAAATGCCCTCAGTTTCTTTGCCAAAATATAACAGGAGTCACCTTTTCTCCAGTTCCCAACAAGTTTCTCATCACTATCTGAGACCACCTCAGCCTGGACCTTATTGTTTACATCACTATCAGCATTTTTGTCAAAGCCATTCAGCAAGTCTTCAGGAGATTCCAAACTTTCCTACATTTTCCTGTCTTCTTCAAACTGTTCCAACCTTTGCCTGTTACCAAGTTCCAAAGTTGCTTCCACATTTTCGGGTATCTTTTCAGCTATGCCCCACTCTACTGGTACCAATTTACTGTATTACTCCATTTTCACACTGCTGACAAAGACATACCTGAGACTGGGAAGAAAAGGAAGTTTAATTGGACTTACAATTCCACATGGCTGGGGAGGCCTCAGAATCATGGCGGGAGATGAAAAGCACTTCTTACATGGCAGCTGCAAGAGAAAAAATGAGGAGGAAGCAAAAGCAGAAACCCCTGATAAACCTATCAGATCTTGTGAGACTTGTTCACTATCATGAGAATAGCACAGGATGACCAGCCCCCATGATTCAGTTATCTCCCTCTTGGTCCCTTCCACAACACATGGAAATTCTGGGAGATACTATTAAAGTTGAGATTAGGGTGGGAACACAGTCAACCACATTATCATCTTTACTTTTTTCTTAGACAGAGGCTCACTCTGTTGACCAGGCTAGAGTGCAGTGGTGTGATCTTGGCTCATCACAACCTCCGCCTCTCAAGTTCAAGCAATTTTCCTGCCTCAGTCTCCCAAGTAGCTGGGATTACAGGTTCATGCCACCATGACTCGCTAATTTTTGTATTTGTAGTAGAGACAGGGTCTCACCATGTTGGCCAGGCTTGTCTCGAGCTCCTGACCTCAAGTGATCTACCTGCCTCGGCCTCCCAAAGTGCTGGGATTAAAGGAGTGAGCCATGGAACCTGGCCCTCTTTATCATTTTTTTAAAATTTATTTTTGGGACAGAGTCTTACTCTGTTGCCCAGGCTGGAGTGCAGTGGTGCTATCTCAGCTCACTGCAACTTCCACCTCCTAGGTTCAAGTGATTCTCATGCCTCAACCTCCAGAGTAACTGGGACTATAGGCGCCCGCCACCAAGCTTGACTACTTTTTTTTTGACTCTTTAAATTTCATTTCATTTTATTTATTTATTTATTTATTTATTTATTTCATTTTTTAATTTTATTAAACTTTAAGTTCTGGGATACATGTGCAGAATGTGCAGGTTTGTTACATAGATATACATGTGCCATAGCGGTTTGCTGCACCCATCAACCCATCATCTACATTAAGTATTTCTCCCATTGCTATCTCTCCCCTAGCCCCCAACCCCCGACAGGCCCCGGTGTGTGATGTTCCCCTCCCTGTGTCCGCATGTTCTCATTGTTCAACTCCCACTTATGAGTGAGAACATGTGGTGTTTGGTTTCTGTTCTTGTGTTAGTTTGGTGAGAATGATGCATTCCCTCTTCATCCATGTCCCTGCAAAGGACATGAATTCATCCTTTTCTATGGCTGCATAGTATTCCATGGTGTATATGTGCCACATTTTCTTTATCCAGTCTATCACTGATGGGCATTTGGGTTAGTTCCAAGTCTTAGCTATTGTGAACAGTGCTGCAATAAACATATGTATGCATGTGTCTTTATAGTAGAATGATTTATAATCCTTTGGGTATATACCCAGTAATGGGATTGCTGAGCCAAATGGTATTTCTGGTTTTAGATCCTTGAGTAATCGCCCCACTGTCTTCCACAATGGTTGAACCATTTTTAAGTGTACAGTTCAGTGGTAATAAATTCATTTTTTTTCCTCGATCATCCTCTTCTTTCTCTTCCCCAGCTTTTCAAATTAACAATGTAATCAACTCAGTGATAAAATCGCAATGATATTTTCAGAATTGATAGACAATAAATAGGTAGATAGATACATGGGTAGATGGGTGATAAAACAAATAATAAATAGGAACTTGGATTACTAAGAATTCCACTGTTATCACTGGCTGACCCAATACGCATAACTAACTTCCTCTATTTTACTTATCTTGAATGTAAAGTCTGAGAATGTGCTTGTAGCTAAAGGCTGTTACATGAAATGATTCTGGCTAAAAAAGAAAATCTCGTAATTTGAGAAGGGAAAGTAGGTACAATTGCTAAATGTAGAATAAAATAAGGCAAATGGTCAAAATTTATTTTGAAAACATAGAGAGCCAAAAGGATGATAAAATAACAATAGAGAAAGATGATATTTTAAAAAAATCTGTAAACACAAAAATGAAATACAAAGAACAAAAGCATAATCAATGAAATAGATGAGATGTTTCAAAATGCCGTGTTCCTATAGATAATATATATCATAAAAGGCAAATGTAAGCAATTTGGAAAACTTAATTGCTAATGTGAAATTACAAAACCCCTTGGGTCCTTAACTAAAATATAATCAAAATTTGAAAAAACTAAATATTTTTAAAATACAAGCAAAACAAAATAGTAGTAGGATATTTTTTGTAATATAAAAGTGTGATTAAAATTAATTATAAATGTAGCTGACTTTAAACCTGTAATAAAATGAAAATGATAACCATATCTGCTAAGTTATTGCAATCTATAGTTAAAGCAATAAAAAAGCAATTAGAAGAAAGCATAAGGACTAAAATGAGAAAAATCTTTGCATCATAAATGACAGACAGTTAATAACCCCAATATAAAAAATAATACTAGTTGGTAAGAAAAAGGCAAACCACTTAGAAAAAGCAAGTGTAGTTCCAAAGAGCAATTAATGGAAAAGCAAAACCAATGGGAAGTGTAACTGTTATAATTGTAATAGTTATAATAATATGAAGTAACATAACAAGTAGATATACTTTTTACCCATAAAATTGACAATTTTTTTTAATTAAAATTTTTAAAGTTATTCAGTCTTGCCAAGGAATTGAGCACATTGGTACTTTTATGAGGTGAATGCTGTTGAAACTATCAGTTTCTGGTATCTATGGGGAAGGTAATATAGCTATAGCCACTGATAAAATATATTTAAATCTCAAATAAAGACATATATGCTATAGGAAAAATATCACCCAGATATAAGAATGTATTTTCCAATATCCTTACTTTTTGTACCAATAATAACCATAAAAATAAAAAATACGTACAGGCAGAAAACAATTTAAATGCCCATCAAAAGGATGTTTCAATAATATTGTATATATAAATATACATATATATATATATATATATATATAATTGAAAGTTATTAATCTACTGACTCATTATATCAATCTACACTTATTGACCTAGGGGAATATTTAAGATGTTGTTAATTGGGAAGAAAGATGTATATTACAATTTTAATTTTTTAAAAGCAAATAACCAAAAAACCCTAGATAGATACAAAGGTAGATCATAGGTTGATATGAGAGAGAGAGAGAGAGAGAGAGAGAGAGAGAGAGAAACATGTTTTTAATTGTGCTTTAAGAAAATCAACTATATTCCCTAGGCCATTTAAAATTACAATAAAATGAGAGGGTGTTATAAAAAGGAAAGAAAAAGCTCAGACAGGCCCCCAAATCTTTAGTTGTGGTATTAACACATTAGGTTCTTCATTGCACAAATACCTTTTAATATAAAACAATTAGGGTCCTGCTCAAAAATTAAAAAAAAAACTATACATTGATATCCCAGAAATGCCCTTCATAGTTTGATAATTTTAGCACCTAACTTGTTTTCTTTTATTCCCCTTTTCTATTACCATATTTGGTGACTACCACATCCATTTGATCTTCCTGCTAAGGTTTAATTCTCCTGAACATTCCTTTCAAATTTTCTTTTCTTAACCACTTTCAGCCAACAAACATTTTATCACCAATTTCTATACCACACCTGAAGTCTCAACAGCCACCTATCCATGAGGTGTGTCTACTATCTCCTATCCCACTGACAAAGGTAATATAAGCTCCTGTTCCCCAATATTATGCCACCCAAAACACTTTAAAATTTCAGAAATATTTCTAAATCAAATTCTCTAAGTCACTGACTTCCACACTTGCATGGCAGCCTACACATAAAATCCCAAATCTGGTAAACTCTAACTTACCTACTCTACATTGTTGAGCAAACACTTGACCAGGATACAAATTTGTCAAATGTTCTCACCTTAAACTCAGACCATTAGGGTCAGGCACTGTGATTCACTGCTGTAATCCCAGCAGCACTTTGAGAGGCTGAGGCAGGAGGATGGCTTGAAGCGCAGGAATTCCAAACCAGTCTGGGAAACATAGTGAGGTCTTGCCTGTATTAGTTCATTCTTGCACTGCTATAAAGAAATACCTGAGATTAGGTAATTTATAAGGGAAAATGGTTTTATTGGCTCATGGTTCTGCAGGCTGTGCAGAAGGCATGGCAGCATCGGTTTCTGGGGAGACCTCAGGGAGCTTTTACTCATGGTGGAAAGCAAAGTGGAAGTAGGCATCTTCACATGTCTGGAGCAGGATGGTGTTAAACCATGAGAAACTGCCCCCAGTATCCAATCACCTCCCACCAGGTTATACCTCTAACATGGGGTACTAAAATTAGACATGAAATTTGGGCAGGGACACAGATCCAAAACATATCACCATCTCTACAATAAATAAATAAATGAATAAATAAAAAAAAGAGTTAGGACATTCTCCCTAAATTGACATGAAAACTACTTTAAACCAATGCTTCTCAATCCCTTATATGGAGAGAAATAAGCTGAAAAATTTGCTAATGAAACTTCGATTTAATAAGTTTGAGATGGGTTTGGGTTTCTTCATTTCTAAGAGGTACACAGCCGTTGCTAATGCTGCTGATACTTCTGTAAAGAGAATTAAAATACCACTCCCCTTTGCTGATTATAATTATCATTTTATGGTATGTTTGTTTTCACATTTTTTAATACATGACTTAAAACTTACACAATGCACCAACTTCGTATTCACCAGGAGAGTTTCAGAGAGATCCACCCAGCAACACGGGCAGGCATTACAGAAACGGCTTCATTGGCTACAGCTCAGCATTTACCTTATTTGGGGATAATGTGTTGATGTATTTGCCTTTTATGGACATAGTTGGGTTGCAGTTTGTCTACACACTAAGGTTGCCATTTTCTGCATTCAGAGAACAAATTAATCTAACAAGCTTATATCCTATTGGAGGATAAAGCAGTTTCTCCTCAAAGTCTATATTTTAAGACAATCTCAAACAATGAAGTTAAGTTTTTCTAAAGCAAGGAATTTTGTCATCCTAAACACATTCTAAAAAGGCTATTTTTTAACTCCAAGGCATTCCTCTCTCTCTCTCTCTCTCTCTCTCTCTCTCTCTCTCTCTCTCGGACTTGCTCTGCTTTCTCTGTGTGTCTGTGTGTAAATTTTATCATCATATGATTATATGATTCCCTTCTTATGGTTTATTTTTTTTCTATTCTGATAAAAATTGATACATTCAAGGATAAAGACAAAATATTTTTTGGACATAAATTTGGAAAGAAACAATGAGAAAATAAGTGGATTTAACGTTCTAGAAAGATGTTCATTAAGACATAAGTGCCAATATACTTTATTAAACTGATAGTATTACATGAGTTGGCAAAGAGCCTTCTTGGTTTGATCAGGGTTAGAGTAAGTTTATAATAACCAGAGTTGTGTGTAACATTATTTGAAATATTACTGTTTTTGTTGTTTTACTATTTACAATGTTTTTACTCATTTTTCTGTGTATTGATTTAACATTAAGGCAATTACGCATTTGAAGAATTTCATAATAATTTTCCTTGTGAGTGAAATAATTGTTAGAAAGGACCTGAGGGCTAAGAAACAATAATATAAAATGCAATAAATTTTATTTTATAAAATTATTGGAAAGGCAAAGTTTTTTTTGTTGTTGTTAATTGATGCAAGCTTGTAATATCTGCTGATATAGTTTGTCTGGTATCAGTTCCTCAGTGATGATGTTATTGGTGACATAACCCTCCGAACTTTTAAGTGGCATCAACTTTCTTCAGCTTCTCTTGTTTTAGTCATAGCCATTATATAAGTAGTGTTTGCAAATTTTTGAACTTTAATTTTCGCTTAAAAATAAATGCCATTTTTTTACTCCATACAATATTATTTTTCTTTCTTCTTATTATTAAATGAGCATTAGTAGAAATCTTTAAAGATCTTCAAAGATAAGCACCTTATAAATAACAGAAAACTGTGATCTTTATGGGTTTCTGTGGAAAAAAAAACTTTTACACAGATGAGATAGGTAGACTGTGATGTGTCTCTTTTTTTGTTGTTGTTGTTTTGTTTTGTTTTTGTTTTTGTTAGTTTGTTTTCAGAAGCACCAACTCGACCCTTAAAGTGCTACCTCAGTTTTAGGTGATTCTCCTTGTCTCTTAAAAGCAAATTTAGGCTGGGCACGGAACCTCACATGGACTTTGGGAGGCATCACTTGAGCTTAGGAGTTCAACACCAGCCTTGGCAACATAATGAAACACTGGTCTCTACAAAAAATGTTGAAAAACAATTTAACCAGGATATCTGGTGTTGTGTAGCTGTAGTTCCAGCTATCATTCCAGCTACTCAGGTGGCTGAGGTGGGCGTATCGCTTGAGCCCAGCAGATCAAGTCTGCAGGGAGCCATGACCACACCCCTGTACTCTACCCTGAGTGACAAGACCCCATTTCCAAAAGGAGTTTATTCTAATTATGTTAAGTGTGAAATGCTTCCTTATATAAAGAACATTTTCAAATAGGACAATATAAGATGATTTATTTAAAAATGTATTAATCCAGTGGAAATAAGGAAGATCAGGAAACTAAATTTTATTGTGTAGCACTGAATATTTAAATTTTTTTATGTGAAGTTAAAAAAAAGTAAAAACTTTAATCCAAGTGAAGTAAAAAGTGATAAATTCAAGAGAATAAATGCAGTAAATAATGTAGGAAAAAGACATATTTAGAAAGAATGAGATAATGTCCTTTGCAGAGACCTGGGTGGAGCTGGAGGCCATTATCCTTAGCAAACTAGCAAAGGAACAGAAAACCAAATACTACATGTATAAATGGGAGCTAAATGTTGAGAACACATGGACACATAGAGGAGAACAACACACGGTGGGGTCTTTCGGAGAGTGGAGGGTGGGAGGAGGGAGAGGATCAGGAAAAATAACTAATGCGTACCAGGCTTAAAACCCACCTGGGTGATGCCATGTACAACAAACCACCATGATGCAAGTTTACCTGTGCAACAAACCTGCACTTATACCCCTGAACTTAAAATAAAAATTAATATATGTATATAAAATTGCTAAAGTTTTAAAAATATTTAAACATATTCAAAATCAGAATGCAGCTTAAAATGCACAACATGTCAAAGTTTAATTGAAAATATTTTTGATATATGAGGTGATAAAATTTAGCACTCAAAATTTATACAAATGATTTATTTTGTACAGAAAAATATCAGTATATTATAGAAAATATGTATTGGCACTTCCAGTATAAGAAAGAAAAAGAAAAACGCTGAAGAAGAAAAGAAAAAGAAGAAGGAGGAGGAAAGCTAAACACTCACACGACAAATATGCAAAGGGAACGCACTGAAAGTTCACCAAAGATAGAAATATGGCGATCCTAGCTATGAAAATATTGTATTGCCAAGGCAGGCAGATCGTGAGGTCAGGAGATGAGACCATCCTGGCCAACATGGTGAAACCCCGTCTCTACTAAAAATACAAAAATTAGCTGCGCGTGGTGGCAGGTGCCTGTAATCCCAGCTACTCAGGAGGCTGAGGCAGGAGAATTACTTGAACCAGGGAGTTTGAGGTTGGAAATAGAGACTTTCCAGATGCATTTAAATTGAATTCCTACTGTATTTGAATGGAAGTTAAATTTGACAACTGATGTCCTTATAGGAAAAAGGTATTACACACCTAGAGACTTACTCATATAGAGGAGACAGGAACGCCAAGAAGGCCACCGTTTAATTTTCATATTATTTTTATTTTATGTGCTAGTTTATAAAAAAGTAATATATATAATTTTCCCCAATAAGTGAGGTAAAATACAGTTAACATAAAATTAATTATATCATTTAACAGTATCTAGGACATTCTCAATGTTGTACAACCATCACCATTGTATGGATACACTGCAATTTGTTTATCCATTCATTCACCGATGGGCGTTCGAGTTGTTTCCACCATTTTGTTATTGTTACACTAGTGCTGCTATGAATATTTGGGCAAATTTTTATTTTGAGTAACTATTTTAAATTATTAGATCTATGTACAGACAATCCCTGATTTATAATGGTCTGATTTATAAATTTACAAATTTACTTACAAATTTACGATGCAGTTTATCAGAGCATTAAAGACATTTTTCACTTAAAATATTTTTGACCTGAGATGGATTTATCAGGATGTAACCCCATTATATCGTGAAGCATCTGTACATAGAAGTGCAATTCCTGTTTCATATGTTAACTCGATGGTTAGTTTCATTAGGAATCGCTAAGCTGTAGTTTACAGCAGCTATACCATTTTACATTTCCACCAGCAATGTAAGAGGATTCCAATTTCTCACCAAGTGCAATTTTCAATATTCAATAAGCCATCTTAGGGGATATAAAGTGGTACTCTATTGTGGTTTTGTATGTTTTAAATAATTAACGATGTTGAGGATCTTTTCTTGTGATTTTGAACATTTGTGTATTTGCTACACAAAAACACATATTTAAATATTTTGCCCACTATTTTATGGGGTTGTTTGTCCATTCAGCAATGATCATAAATATACGACAATAGACTTATAAGATATATAATTTGCAAATATTTTCTTATTCTGTAGATTGTCTTTTCAGTTTCTTGATAATGTACCTTAATAAACAAAATATATTTTGAAAAAATTTTTATTTATATTTGTCTTCTGATGGTTTTGCTGTTGGTGTCATATTGAAGAATTCATCAGTAAATTGGAAGTTATGAAAAATCACCCCTATGTTTACTTCTGATATTTTATAGCTTTAACTGTTACCTGTATGTTGTTGATACATTTTTGGTTAATTTTTATACATAACATGAGGTAGAGGTTTAACTTAATTCTTTTTACACAGATATCCAGTTATTTCAGAAATATTTATTGAGATAGTATTTTTTCCCATTCAATTTTGTTTGTATCATTGTCAAAAATAAATTGATAATAGATTTATGAGTTTATTTCTGGACCCTACATCTTATTTAATTCATCTATATGTTTATTCTTTGTTTGGTTTATTATTATTAACCATTCTTATTACATTATTAGTTTGGTTAAAAAGCAATTGCAATTTTTGTCATTAAAAGTAATAGCAAAAAACACAATAACGTTTGCGCAAACCTGACAGCACCATAGTTTTGTTATTTTGTAGTAAGTTTCGAAATTACAAAGTTTGAGACCTTCAATATGTTCTTTTTTAAACGTTTTGACAGTTCCTGCTTCCTTACAATTTCATATCAATATTAGATCATCAGCTTTTCTATTTCTGCAAATACAGCAGTTTGGATTTGATATAATTTCATTGAATCTTTAGATATTTGGGTAATATTGCCATTTTAACACTGAGTCTTAAAATTCTTTAACAAAGAATGCCCTTCCATTTAATAGATATTCTTAATTTTAACAGGAGTTTGTTTATTGTACAAGGCTTGAACCTAATTGATTAGATTCATTCCTAAGCATTTAACATTTTATGCTACTGTAAATGAAATTGTTTTCATAATTTCAACTTCAGATTTTTATTGCTATTGTATAGCAATACACCTGATTTTTGAGTGTTGATCTTGTATCCTGACCCCTTGCTGAATTTGTTTATTAGCTTGAATAGTCTCTGTGGATACTTTAGGACCTCTATTTCTTGATAGTTGAGTGTTTTTATTATGAAATGATGTTAAATTTTGTGAAATGCTTTTTCTGAATCAATGAATGATTAAAATAATCATTCATTTTATTCCTTCAATCTATTAATAAATTGATTTTTATATGCTGAAAGATTCTTGAATTCCTCAGATAAATCCCATTTAGCCATAATGTATGATCCTGTAAATATGCTCCTTTATTTAGTTTACTGTTTTGGGGGCAGTTATTTTTGCATCTATATTCATAAGGTATGTTTTTCTATAATTTTTTTCTTTCAGTTGGTGTTTATCTCGCTGTGGTGTCAGAGTACCTCTATCTTTAAATAATAAGTTAGAAAGTGTTCCTTTTTCTACTTTTTGGAAAAGTTTAGAAATTATTGTTGTAAAGTCTTTAAATTGTTAGTAGAATTCACCATTGAAACCAGGTCACCCTGGGCTTTTATTTGTTAGAATGTATCGATTAATGATTTAAGTTTGTTTAGCTGTGTTAAGATTTTTATTTTTGGTGCAGTTTTGCTGGTTTTTTTTTGTATTTCTAGGAACTTTTCCATTTTATCAAAATTACATAATTTATTGATCTTTAATATTTCAGTATTCTCTTATCCTTTTAAATATTTTAGGTAGCATATTCTCACTTTCATTTCTGATTTTAGTACATTAGATCTTCTCTTTTTTTGTTATCTATGTTTGTTAATTTTGTTGATCTTTTCAAAGATACATGTTTTGGTATTACTTATTCTTTCTTCTGTTTTTCCTATTTTGTTTGTCTCTGCTCTAAGAGTTTTATGATTCCCTGAAATTCTAAATTATTAATTTTTAAAATTATTATGTATTATACACTTTGTAAAGGTCTATGAGCTTTGACAAATGCATAGTGTCAAAAAATACGATTATAATATCATAGAAAATAGTTTTATGACCTCAAAAAAAAAACCCTTGTGTTTCACCTGTTTAACCAACTCTCTCTGCTGATACCATGCCAACTGCTCATCATTTTATTGTCTCTATAATTTTACCCCTTCCAGAATATCACATAAGTGGAATCATATAGTATATCACTTTTTTCCAACTGGTTATTTTACCTATTAATATGCATTCAAAAGTCATCCATAACTTTTTTATATTTAAATGTTTTTATTTAATTTTTATGAGTACATAATAGCTGTATATATTTATGGGCACATGTGATGTTTTGATACAGTCATACAACGTGTAATGATCCAATAAGAGTACTGGAGTAGAAATAATGTCAAGGCTTTATTATTTCTTTATATTAAAAACATTCCAAATTCACTATATTTGTTATTTTAAAATGTATGATAAGTTGTAGTTAACTGTAGTCACCCTAATGTACTACCATTACTAGATCTTATTTATCTAACTGTATTTTATACTCATGAAACATTGCCAATCTATCTCCACCTCTCCTTTACCCTCCCCATTATCTGTCAATAATTAATCCACTCTCAATTTTATATGTTTATATATTTTTTAGCTCCCACATGTATAAGTGAGACATAGGACGTTTGTCTCTATATCATTCAACGTAATGTCCTCCAGTTTCATCCATGTTGTTGCAAATGACAAGATTTCATATTTCATTGTGTATATCGATCCCATTTTTTGTATCCATTCATCCACCGATGGGCAGTTAGGTTGCTTCTGTAGCTTGGCTGTGGTGAATAGTGCTGCATTAAACATGATAATACAAATACCCCTTTAATATACTATTTTTCTCCTTTTTTGGGATATAGCCCGCAGTGGGATTGCTGGATCATACGTTAGTTCCATACCTAGTTTTTTAAAGAAGGTTTATACTGTTCTCCACAGCGGCATTATTAATTTGCATTCCCACAATAGTGTACAAGGGATCCCCCTTCTCCATATTCTTACCAGCTTTAATTAATGACTATCTTCCGGATAGAATCCATATTCACTGGGGTGAAAAGATATCTCATTTTATTTTTGATTTGCATTTTCCTGATAATTAGTGATGCTGAGTATTTTTTTTTCATAAACCTGTTGGCCATTTGTATGTCTTCTGAGAAACGTTTATTTAGATATTTTGCCCATTTTTCAATCAGATGTTTTTCCTATTGAGTTGTTTGTGCTCCTTACATATTCTGGTTATTAATCCTTCAACAGCCATGATGTTTGTAAATATTGTCTCTTATCCCCTGGATTGTCTGTTCACATTGTTAATTGTTTCCTTTGCTGTACAGAAGCTTCTTAATTTAATGTGATCACATTTGTCCATTTTTACTTTGATTGCCTTTGCTTATGAGGCTTACTCAAGAATTATTTGCCCCTACTAATGTCCTGGAGTGCTTCCCAATGTTTTCTACTGGTAGTTTTATAGTTTGAGCTCTTAGATTTAAGTCTTTAATCCCTTTCAATTTGATTTTTGTACATGGCAAAAAAATAAGTGTTTAGTTTCAATCTTCTGCTTATGGATATCCAGTTTTCCTGTCACTATCTATTGAAGAGACTGTCCTTTCCCCAGTGTATGTTCTTGTCCCCATTTGTCAAAAATAAGTTGATAGCAAATCCTGGATTTATGTGTGGGTTGCCTCTTCTGTTCCATTGGTCTGCATGTCTCTTTTTAACGCCAGCATCATGCTGTTTTGGTTATGAGAGCATTGTGGTATACTTTGAAGTTATATAATGTAATTCCTCCAGTTTCGTTCTTTTTGGTGAAGATGGCTTTAGCTATTCTGGGTGTTTTGTTGTTCCATAAAAATTTTAGAATTAAAAAAAAAATCTGGGAATAAATGTCATTGTATTTTAATAGGGATTATATTGAATCCGTAGATTCTTTGAGTACTATGGACCTTTTGACAATATTGATTCTTTCAATCCATGAACATGGAATATCTTTCCATTTTTTGATGTCTTCTTCATTTTTTATTAATATTTATAGTTTTGATTGTATAGATCTTATCTGTTTTTGGTTAAGTTTATTCCTAAGTATTTTATTTTATTCATATTATAGCTATAGATATGATTACTTTAGTGTTTTTTAAAATTCTTTGCTGTTGGCAAATAGAAACAGTACTGTTTTTATTTTTCTAATAATGACAAGGCCTTGCTCTGTCACCCAGGCTGGATTGCAGTGTTGTGATCTTAGCTAACTGCAGCCTTGAACTCCTGGTCTCAAGCAATCTTCCCACCTCAATCTCCTGAGTAGCTGGGAATACAGAAGAACACCCACGGACCTGGCTGAAAAATGCTACTGCTTTCTGTATGTTGATTTTGTATTTTGCAATTTTACTGAATTTGTTCATTAGTTTTAACAGGCTTTGTGAAGTTACTGAGTTATTTTAAATACAAGATCATATCACCTGCAAACAAGGGTAATTTAAACTTCCCCTTTCCAATTTGGATACCTTTTATTTCTTACTCTTGCCTAATTGCTCTGGCTAGGACTTCCAGTATCATTTTAAATAAAAATGGTAAAAGGTGGCATCCTTGTCTTGTTCCAGATCTTGGAGAAAAGGTTTTTTGTTTCTCGCATTCAGTGTAATACTAGCTATGTGCTTTTTGTATACAGCTTTTATTGTGTTGAGGTATATTCTCTCTATACCCTGTTTTTTGAGAGGTTTTATCATGGAGTTACGTTGAATTTCACTGAAATTCATTGAAAAAGCTTCCAGCATCAGTTAAAATGATCATGTTTTTGTCCTTTATTCTGTTGATATGATGTATTACATTTATTGATTGCATGTGATGAACCATTCCCACATCGCTGAGTTGAATCTCATTTGATTATGATTAATTGTCTTTTTATTGCATTGTTAAAATTAATTAGCTAGCATTTTGTTGAGGATTTTTGCATCTATGTTCACCAGATATATTGGCTTATAATTTTCTTTTTTTTGTGTGTTTTTTTATCTGATTTTGATAACAGGGTAATACTGGATTCATAGAATAAATTTATAAGTTTTATCTTCTCCTTAATATTTTAGAATAATTTGAGTAGTATTGTAATTAATTATTCTTTAAATGTGTGATACAAATCAGCAGTGAAGGCATCACATCCTGAGGTTTTCTTTGATAAGAAACATTTTATTACTGCTTATATATTGTAACTTATTATTGGTCTATTCGGGTTTTGAATTTCTTAATGTTTCAATCTTGGTAGGTTGTATGCTTCTAGTAATTTATCCACTTCTAGGTTTTCCTATTTTTTGGCATATAGTTGCTTGTAATAGTGTCAAATGATCCTTTGAATTTCTGTGGTATCAATTGTACTGCCACCTTTTTCACCTCTGATTTTGATATTTTAGGAGGCTCTTTCCCCTTTTGCCTTGATTCATCAGGCTAAAGATTTGTCAGTGCTATCCTTCAAAATAACCCAAGTTTTCATTTTGTAGATCATTACACTTTTATAGTCTCTATTTTTTTTACTTATGCTCTAATCTTTCTTATTTCTTTTAGTTTTATAATTTTAGGTTTAGTTTACTCTTTTAGAATTATTTAAAATGCATCTTTTGGTTATTTGTTTGAAATTTTTATTACTTTTTCATTTGGGCATTTATTTCTATAAACTTCCCTCTAAGTATTGATTTTGCTGTATTCCACAGGTTTAATATATTGTGTTTCCATTTTTATTTGTGTTCAAAATATTTTAATATTCTCTCTAGTTTCTTCATTCGTCTAATGGTTGGTCAGGAGCATATTGTTTAATATTTATGTGTTTCTGTAGATCCCAATGTTTCTCTTGTTGTTAATTTCTAGTTTTTCTGTGTTAAAAATACATAATATAATTTATTTAAAAATATTTGAGACTTGTTTTGTGGCCTAAAATATTTTCT
Source organism: Homo sapiens (assembly GCF_000001405.40). NCBI lineage: Eukaryota > Metazoa > Chordata > Mammalia > Primates > Hominidae > Homo > Homo sapiens. The sequence goes on from NC_000005.10 coordinate 23,940,878, forward strand.
ATCCTTGAAAATGTTTCATGTACTGAGGAGAAGAATGCTTATTCTGCAGCTGTTGGATGTAATGTTCTGTAAACGTCTGCTAGGTCCATTTGGTCTATATTGCAGATTAAGTCCATGTTTCTTTATTGATTTTCTGTGTGAATGATCTGTCCTGTGCTGAAAGTGAGGTATTGAAATCCTCCCTCATTATCCTATTAAAGCCTGTCTCTCTTTTTCTAGCTCTAATAAGATTTGTTTTATATATCTGGGTGCTCCAGTGTTGAGTGCATAATTTATAATTGTTAAATCCTCTTGCTGAATCAACTCCCTTATCATTATATAATAACCTTCTTTGTTTCATTACAGCTTTTGTCTTGAAATCTATTTTGTCTGATATAGCTACTCCTTCTTCATTTCCATTTGCATTGACTATCTTTTTATTTTCTTTATTTTAAATCTGTTTGTGTCTTATAGGAGAAGTGAATTTCTTATAGGCAGCATGTAGTTGGCATACCTTTGACAGGCTTGGTAGAGCATTCCTTTTTGTTGATAATGTTCCACTGAATGGATGTACCATCATTTGTTTGCCTTTCACCTATGCAAGGATATACTGTTTGCTTCTAACTTGGGGCAATTATAAATAAAGCAATTATAAACATTCATGTGCAGATTTTGCTTAGTTATAAGTTTTCAAATCATATGAATAAATAACTAAAAGTGTGATGACTAGATTATGTGGTATGTCTATGATAGGGTTTGTAAAAATGACTGCCAAATTATTTTCCAGAGTGATGTATCATTTTGTATTTTCATTAAAATTAATGTCAGTTTCTCTTGCTCTGTATTCTTACCAGCATTAAATATTATTTTTTAAAAATTAACATATGTAGTGGTATCTCATTATAATTTTAATTTGCTTTTTTCTAATTAAAACTATTGCTTTTCATATGCTTAAATGTAATACATCTTTGTTGCAAATTTTTAATTGGGTAGTTTATTATTATTATTACTATTTAGTTTTAACTTTATATGTTGTATAGTTTTTTAATCAAATATGTGTTTTGAAATATATTCTGTGTGTTTTCTTTTTGTAATATTATATTGACAAAACATTTTTTAATAAAGTGTAATTCCCCAGTTTTCTTTAATGAATTGTGCCTTTAGTATTGTAGCCAAACTCTTGTACTAGTTCATTTTCACTCTGCTAATAAACACATACCCGAAACTGGGAATAAAAGAGGTTTAATTGAACTTACAGTTCCACTTGGCTGGGGCGGCCTCAGAATCATGGTGGGACATGAAAGGCATTTCTTACATGGCAGCAGCAAGAGAAAACTGAGGAAAAAGCAAAAGCGGAAATCCCTGATAAACTCGCTAGATCTCGTGAGACTTATTCACTATGAGAAGAATAACATCAGAAAGACCAGCCCCCATGATTCAATAACCTCCCTCTGGGTCCCTCCTACAACACGTAAGAATTCTGGGAGATACAATTCAAGTTGAAATTTGGACGGGGACACAGCCAAACCATATCATTCCGCCAGGCTTCACCAAATCTTACGTCTTCTCATTTCAAAACCAATCATGCCTTCCCAACAGTCCGCCAAAGTCTTAACTCATTTCAGCATTAACCCAAAGTCCACAGTTGAAAGTCTCACCTGAGACAAAGCAAGTTCCTTCTACCTATGAGCTTGTAAAATCAAAAGCAAACTAGTTACTTCCTAGATACAATGAGAGTACACATATTGGGTAAATACAGCCATACAAAATGGGAGAAATTGACCAAAGCAAGGAGGTTACAGGGCCCATGCAAGTCAGAAATCCAGCAGGGCAGTCAAAATTTAAGGCTCCAAAATTATTTTCTTTTGACAGCAGGTCAGGCATCCAGGTCACACTGATGCAAGAGGTGGGTTCCCATGGTCTTGGACAGCTCCGCCCTGTGGCTTTGCAGGGTACGGCCTCCCTCCTGGCTGCTTTCATGGGCTGGCATTGAGTGTCTGCAGCTTTTCCAGGTGCACGGTGCAAACTGTCAGTGGAGCTACCACTCTGGGGTCTGCAGGATGGTGGCCCTCTTTTCACAGCTCCACCAAGCAGTGCCCCAGTAGGGACTCTGTGTGGGGGCTCCAACCCCACATTTCCCTTCCACATTGCCCTAGCAGAGGGTCTCCATGAGGGCCCTGTCCCTACAGCAAATGTTTGCTGGGCATTCAGTAGTTTCCATACATCTTTCTGAAATCTAGGCAGAGGTTCCCAAACCTCATTTCTTGACTTCTGTGCACCCCTGGGCTCAAAACCAAGTGGAAGCTGCCAAGGTTAGGGGCTGCCACCCTCTGAAGCCACAGCCTGAGCTGTACATTGGCCCCTTTCAGCCATGGCTGGAGTGGCTGGGACACAGGGCACCAAGTCCCTAAGCTACACACAGCATGGGGACCCTGGGCCCAGCACATGAAACCACTTTCTCCTCCTGGAATTTGGGGCCTGGGATGGGAGCAGCTGCTATGAAAGTCTCTGACACGGCCTGGAAACATTTTCCCCATGGCCTTGGGGATTAACATTAGGCTCCTTGCTACTTATGCAAATTTCAGCAGCTGGCTTGAGTTTCTCTTAAAAAAAAAAGTTGGTTTTTCTTTTCTAGTGCATTGTCAGGCTGCAAATTTTCTGAACTTTTATGCTCTGTTTCCCTTTTAAAATGGAATGCTTTTAACAGCACCCAAGTCATCTCTTGAATGCTTTACTGCTTAGGAATTTCTTCTATCAGGTACCCTAAATCATTGCTCTCAAGTTCAAAGTTCCACAAACCTCTAGGGCAGGGGCAAACTGCTGCCAGCCTCTTTGCTAAAACATAACAAGGGTCACCTTTGCTCCAGATCCCAACAATTTCCTCATATCCATCTGAGACCACCTCAGCCTGAATTTTATTGTCCATATTGCTATAAGCCTTTTGGGCAAAGCTATTCAATAAGTCTCTGGGAAGTTCCAAATTTTACCACACTTTCTTTTCTTCTGAGCCCTCCAAACTGTTCCAACCTCTGCCTGTTATCCAGTTCCAAAGTTGCTTCCACATTTTTGGGTATTTTTACAGCAACATCCCACTCCTGGTACAAATTTACTGTATTAGTTCATTTTCATGCTGCTGATAAAGACATACTCAAAACTGGAAACAAAAAAAGGTTTAATTAGACTTACAGTTCCACACGGCTGGGCAGGCCTCAGAATCATGGTGGAAGGTGAAAGGCACTTCTTATATGGCAGCTGCAAGAGAAAAAATGAGGAGGAAGCAAAAACAGAAACCCCTGATAAACTTATCAGATATTGTGAGACTTATTCA